>NW_019805497.1:150818-301637 GCF_000001405.40 Homo sapiens | reverse complement strand
CTCAGAGATCAGGCTCGTTCCATTTTGTAAATTCATCTTACAGTCAGTGTCCAATAGGAGTAAACTACATTAGAAATTCAGAGAGAATATTTAGTATAAGGAGTAAGTTAAATCGGTGCTAGAAGATTGAAAAAGTGAATAATGGAACACTAAGGAAATACTATCTCTGGTGAGACAGTATCACCAGAAAGCACATACTGCCCCTAGGTTGGAGACCAAAGGTAACAGGTAGGAGTTAGAGAATCGAGACATTTGGGCAAGATGCCATGGATCTGGGACTCAAGAGTTGAAGAGGGCCATTATCTGGCTGTTACCTCTGAGATATAATATAATACCTATTATGGAACAAGGAGATTTGTTCTATAATTGCTGGAATAAAAGCTGGAGACTGGTACCAACTGCTGCTGCTAAGGTAAAGGGCCACAGTTAGTGTAACACCGACAGGGATGAAAAGCAGACATAAAGGAGGAAGTCCCTTCTTCCATTTTCCTCTCTTTTGAGCTCTTTTTATTGTTCCCTATTGGCAGAGCCTAAGAGTCATGTGGCAAAGAAGAAATGCAATTTGCTAAGACTCCACTGCAGAATGGCAAAGCAGTAAGTAAAAAGGCAGGTTTGGAACTGACAGGTAATAGTTTAGCAATCTTCACAACTTTATCTAAATGCTCAGAAACCTCTTAATTCAGTTGTAGTTTAGAAAAAGAGAGAATTCAGAGATGTCCCCATGGGTTAAATGGGCCAGTGTACATTGCCTCCACCAATATTTACTTTGGCCAAAAATCAGATACCTGGATGCACCTAATGACAAGGGAAGCTGCGACCTCTATGTCCAGGAAGGATGAGAGAACATTAGTATTATGAAGCACTAGCAGTTTCTACCACTTCTCCACATCAGTCTCCCCACCCATGTACCTTAATTTTTTATTTCACAGATAAAGTATAAGCCATCACACAGAAACTCCCTCAGTTCTGCAACTGAACCCATTCTTATCTTCTTTTTATCAGACAGAATGGAGGAAGACTGTGTCCTGTTATCAGAGAGTGGTCTGATCATATATGCTAGAACATTAACAACCCAAACAAGGGCAGAACAAAGATATTAAGAAGTAGGGAATGTGTGGAAAGCCAGGATTCATAATACTGAAAGCCTCTAAAAGAGAAGGGACAATATCTCATGTGTCCTTAGTCGATTGTCTAGGACAGGGCACATAGCATACACACTATTCCAAAACATTCATTTATTTAATTCAATAAATATTCATTGAGCACTTATTATTTGCTATACGTTGAAGAAAAAAGCAGTAAGCAAAATACAAAAGGGTTTTGCCTCATCCAACTTACATTTAGTGGATAATGACAGCTAACATATACCAAGCACCTTCGATGTGCATTCCTGAGTGTTTTACATATACTAATTCACTTAATCCTTACAAGAATCCTGTAAGTATTGTCTCTATCCTATTATTCAGATGAGAAAACTGAAGCACATAAGCATTAAGTAACTTGCATAAGTAACAGAGCTGAAATTCAAACACAGATAAACTGGCTCAAGAACCCATGGCTGTATCACCACCCTGGATTATTATGGGTTAAATGACACATAGTATACAGATTTATTAAAATTAGTTATCTGTTACTATGTGTTTAATGATGAATACAAGAGAAATAGAGATGAAGGCAGGGCTATTCAAACCTAAAGTCTGGGCTCATTACCTTATTTCCTACTGTCTTCATTACCTTATTTCCTATTGTCTTTCTAAAGAAAAAAAAAAATAGAGTAGCTATAATCACATCTAGAATAGAATTACATTCCTCTGTGAGGAAAGAAAATGTCCCCCACATTTCTGAAGCCTTGCCCCTTCCCAACTAAACTAAAGTGGACATTTATTTTCTCACCTTCCCTACTCATTAATGTACTCAACAAATGTTTATTCAGTGATAATTCAATTATAGGCTATGTACAAGGGGCTAAGGACACTAGGGATGAACACAACAGTCTCTCCCTCCCAAAACCTACACATTAATAAAAGGACACAGAGATGTAAGCAGACAATTACAAAGAAAGCAAAAAGTGTGATAACAAAATTATGGGCACTCATGAGATGAGGGACATCTATCCCACCCTTGATAAGAAGTAGAAGGCTTCCCTGGGGAAACAAATACTAAGCTGACATTCAAAGGATGAGTAGATATGGTTGAGGAGAAGAAGCAAAAACAGGATGAAGAATCATTCCAGGCAAAGGAGCAAGATGTCCAAAATCCCAGCTTAGGATGTATACACTTCACTGAAAATAGATCACTTTGGCGTGAGGTTGGTCATTGGAGGAATGGCTAGATAGAAAAGAGCAAGGGAAGAATGATGAAGGCTTTGTAAGGCAAATGAAGGATGTTTAGCGGGAAGAAATAACATCTGCAGCACAGAAGAACAAGGGAATGAGGCAAACTGGGGGCAGTCCCAGTTAGGAAGGCCATGAAAGCAGCAGGTAGAAGTGAGAGATAACAAGAGGTTAAATGTTTTCTGACTATCACTTGAAATAGGTCCCTGTCTATGATAAATGAGTCAGCCTATGTAGGTTAAATAAAGAGGAAGATACCCTAAATTATTTCCTTTTACAGGTAGTAATTATTAATTGATTTCCAGCAGTATCAAGCCATTTGGCCTATTTACTGATGCTGTCACTTTCTTTCTGTGTGACCCTAGGCAAGTTATTTAACCTTTATAAGTCTTTGTTTCTTTCTTTTTAAAGTGTGACTATTATTTCTGGAACCCACCTATAGTGGGTTGAATGGTGGTCCCTAACAACACATGTCTCTGTCCTAACCTCTGGAACCTTTAATGTGACCTCACTTGGAAAAAAGAGTCTTTACACATGTAATTAAGTAAGGATCTCAAAATGAGATAATTCAGTATTATATAAATGACTCTAAATCCAATAACACTGTCCCTGAAAGAGATAGAAAAGACACAGACACAAAAGAGGAGAAGGTTACATGAAGATGGGGCAGAGACTGGAGTTATGCAGCCGCAAGGCACAGAATGCCTGGAGCCACTAGACACTTGAAAAGTTAGTGAAGGACTCTTACCTCCAGCCTTCAGAGAGAGGATGATCCTGCCAACATTTTGATTTCAGACTTCTGTCTTCTAGAACTGCAAGAGAGTGAGTTCTTATTGTTTGAAACCACTAAGTTAGTGGTAATTTGTTACAGCAGCCTCAGGAAACAATACAGCACCTTGTAGAATTATAGTGAGGGGAGCATGAGAAAAACATGAAGGACAGTGCCTGGAATATTATGAGACATCAATAAATATCATTAACTAAAGGCTTAGACAAAATATAAGCATTTCCATCATGTGCTTCACAATGTGCTGTCATTGTTTCTCTGGCCAGTATCTGCTTTTTTTTTTTAATCTCTACCAGTATTGCTTGTTCATAAAAGCTGGAGGCATCACGTTACCCATCTTCAAACTATACTACAGGGGTACAGTAACCAAAACTATGTGGTACTGGTACAAAAATAGGCACCTAGATCAATGGAACAGAACAGAGAGCCCAGAAATAAGGCCACATACCTACAACTACCTGATCTTTGACAAAGCTGACAAAAACAACGAGGAAAAGACTCCCTATTCAAATAAATAGTGCTGAGAAAATTGGCTAGCCATATGCAAAAGACTAAAACTGGACCCCTTCCTTACAACATATACAAAAATCAACTCAAGATGGATTAAAACTTAAATGTAAAACCAAAAACTATAAAAACTCTGGAAGACAACCTAGGCAATGCCTAGGAATGGGCAAAGATTTCATAACAAAAATACCAAAAGCAATCACAAAAAAAATTAAGAATTGACAAGTGAGATCTAGTTAAACTAAAGAGCTTCTGCACAGCAAAAGAAACTATCAACAGAGTGAACAGACAATGTACGGAATGTGAGAAAACTTTTGCAAGCTGTGCATCTGACAAAGGTCTAATATCTAGTGTCTATAAGGAACTTAAACAAATTTACAAGAGAAAAGCAAATAGCCCCTTTAAAAGTGGGCAAAGGACACTTTTCAAAAGAAGACATGCATGTGGCCAAAAAACATATTAAAAAAGCTAAATATCACAGATCACTACAGAAATGCAAATCAAAACCACAATGAGATACCATCTCACACCAGTCAGAAGGGCTATTACTATAATAATAACTCAAAAAATAACAGATCCGGCAAGCCACTGTGGAAAGCGGTATAGCGATTCTTCAAAGAGCTAAAAGCAGAACTAACATTTGACCCAGCAATCTCATTACTGGGTATATACTCAGAGGAATATAAATCATTCTGCCATAAAGACACATGCACACAAATGTTCATTGCAGCGCTATTCACAATAGCAAATACATGAAATCAACCTAAATGCTGATTAATGACAGATTGGATAAAGATAATGTGGTGCATATACACCATGGAATACTATGCAGCCATAAAAAAGAACCAGATCATGTCTTTTGCAGGAACATGGATGGAGCTGGAGCAAGCTATGCAGCAGGCTAATGCAGAGACAGAAAACCAAATACTGCACGTTGCTACCTGTAAGTGGGAGCTAAACGATGAGAACTTATGAACACAAAGAAGGAAACAACAGACACTGAGGTCTTCTTGAGGGTGGAGGATGGGAGTAGAGAGAGAAGCAGAAAAGATTACTATTGAATACTAAGCTTAATTCCTGGGTGATAAAATAATCTGTACAACAAACCCCCATGACATGAGTTTACCTATGTAACAAACCTTCACATGTACCCCCGAACTTAAAATAAAGGGTTATATATATATATAGCTTGTCCTCACAGCCATCAGCATACCTGGATGAAATAAATATAAAAAATTCAGAAAAACAAGATGGATTATTTTCCTTTATATTTTCCACAACAAAACAATCATCCTCTTTTATTTTTACAAAATTGGTCAAATTACACAATTACATTGCATTGTACGCTCCTGATAATAAGCAAAGAAGGATCTTTGTTTGATTAACTAAGCATCCACAGATCCTAGAATGGTGGGTTATAATCCAATAGTAATGTTTACTCCATTGCTCAAATTGTTACAGCTTTGGCCTTTGGATCTCAGTCTTTTCTAGTGTGTGTGTGTTTGTGTGTGTGTGTGTTTAGCACTACAAAATGCTCCAGGTCATCTTGTATATTATGTGCCTTAAACCTAGAATCAGCCATTTCCCCAAAAAGACCTGGCTTCTTATTTTGGAGAATAATATTATAAACCAACATCTGAGTATTGGGTGTGCTCATTGTTACTGGTGTATCTTAGCTTCTAGGAACTCTCAACTGACCGAACAAAGAAAAATATGCATATGTACTAACCTGTGTATATACACAAATGCATAAAGATTTCTGTGTGTAACAATCTGTATCTATATTACATATTTATGTCTCAAATTCTAATCCATTACTATGTGGTTCATTCCAGCCTTCTTAACTTGTCTATAATTCTCACTCCAAAAGTAAGAAACGTGGCTCCTACCATTCTTTATCTATTTACTTAATTGTTCAATTCTAGTATGCATGTATAGTGATTTCAGAATTATTAACTGTACCTCCATGAGAAGCTATTTTATCAGTCAGAATACAGTGTTTATGTTCATTTATTTTGTCTTTACTCTTAGCGTCTACACTCATTTCCAAGTTACTTGGATCAGCATATTTTTTTACCAGTGAGGTTTTTTTATACATTTTCAGTGAGGTTATTTTATACATTTGTAATAGTTGGATTATTTTGTTATACTCTGTGTGATCATTAAATTTTATTTACCAACTTGACCAGGACATCAGATGCCCAGACATTTGGTCAAACAATATCCTGGGTATGTTTATTAGTGTGTTTCTGGAGGATATTAATATTTGAATTGGTAGATTGAACAAAGCAGACTTCCCTTTCTAAGGGACATAGACCTCACTGAAGACCTCATTAGAAGAAAAAGTATGAGCAGGAGGGAATTCCTCCTGCTTGATTATTTGAGCTAGGACATTGGTCTTTTTTTTTTTTTTGGCCTGAAATATTGGCTCTTGTTAGGTCTTGAGACTGCCAGCATTTTTACTGGAACTTAGGCCACTGGCTCTCTTGTTTCTTGGGCCTTCAAATTCAGACAGAAATTATACCACTGGCCTTCTTGGGTTTCCAGTTTTCTGACTGCAGATCTTGGGACTTCTCAGCCTCCATAATCATGTGAGCAAATAATTCCTTAAATAAATCTCTCTCTTTTTGTCTTTACCTATATGTATATCTCCTAGTGGTCTATTTCTCTGAATAACTCTGAGCAACACAGTCTAAGTTTCATTCTGGAATTTCCAACTTCCTAAATGATTCCTTTGTTTGCATACATTAAGATTTGCTCTTTGTGCTGTAAGGATCTACAAGTTTTGACAAATACATAGTGTCATGTCACTGTTACAGTATCATACAGAACAGTTAAAACATCCCTAAAAACATCCCCTGTCGCTTCATCTATTTGAATCTCTTCCCTCCCTGAACCCCTGGCAATCACTATCTATTTACTATCTCTATAGTTTTGCCTTTCAAGATTGTCATAGAAATGGAATCATGTGGCATGTAGCCTTTTCAGATTGGCTTCTTTCACTTAACATTATGCCTTAAACATTCATCCATGTGTTTGCATGGCTTGATAATGCATTCCTTTTTGTTGTTAAGTAGAATAACATTTTTTGAATATATCATAGTTTATCTACTCATATATTGAATGATATCTTAGTGCTGCCAGTTTTTAGTGATTATGAATAAAGATGTTACAAACATTTGTGTACAGATTTCTGTGTGGAAATAATTTTCAAATCATTTAATAAATACCTACTAGCATGATTATTGAATTGTATGATACGACTATACCAAGCTCTCTTCCAAAGTGGCTATACCATTTTTGCATTACCACTAGCAATGATTCAGAGTTTTCATGGTATTTTGAGAAGAAAATTCCTGTAAATTAAATCACTGAAGTCATTTTCATGAATAAAAAATAAATATAAGTGCTATTACAGATTCTCAAACTTGAAAACATGACAATATAATGAACAAATAAATAAACAACAAATACATCTATTACTAAGATTAAAATTGGATATCATTCAAAGCAATATCCAGAGTTAAATCAGCTTATTGAATTATGTATAGGCCTTAGTAATGACTTTTTTGGGTACTGAGTCACTTCAAGAAGTAGGACTGGTTCTGTAAATAATGTCTTCTAAACCCAAAATATAATTTTCTCTTGGTATAGATTTATTTTCCTTTAAACATCAAAATCTACGTCTGTTTAGTCAGCACTTCATTTGAGACACTGAATCCCATTAATTCTTTCAATGTACTTTGGTTTCAGACGCTATAATGCATCCTTTTTATAACAGATTTAGGAGGAAGAAATGCATGGTCATAATGCATTTTCAAGTCATTTTTCTATTTGTGGGGAGGATAAACCAATCATAATTTAATTTGGGTGCAGTATCTTACGTATCTTTCTAAGGTCAAGGTTTATGCATAACCAACTATTGATATAAATGTGACAGAGATTGCTAAAATACATTATATATGTATTTTTAACATTTAACATATTATTGACACATATAGTCAATATGCCATCCATATTTCTCGCATGTTTCTGAACTCAACACTGGTTTGAACTCCTGAAAGTAAACAGTAGCATCAATTCATTGTTTTGTTTCTATGACTACTATGTATTGTGATCCAAAATAACTCATTCTCCTCTACCTACTTATTGAACAATAAATATTGGAAACACCCAAACTGCATAACTCCAGTCTACTTAGTGTTAGATGCTACAGAAAAAGTATTACATAGCATATAGAAAAAAAAGTTCACTTGTTTAATGACAAAAAAGTTTGTTTAATGACATTTACTCAAATGGATATGGACTATTTGTATTTTAACATATATTAAAAACTTATAATGTCCTAAACATGGTGCCTGAAAGGTACATTATTTCATATAAATGTATTCCTCATAAAAATCCTTTGCAATAAATGCTATTTTGCACTGCCCAGATCCCTGCTATCGATACTAGATATATAGCAGGTAAAGTCTGCTTAATTGAGGCTCAGCTTTTGTAGGAGAAAAAGAAATAGTAATGAAATTATTATTTATAAAGTTTAGATATTTTTCAAGTTTGAAGCATGCACTTAAAGGGCTTTACTAAATTCCATTTATGTGACAACTATTTATTGAGTACCTGCTCTGTGCTGGCACTATTTTATGTGCTAACAAATTAAAACCTTTGTTTTCATGCAGCTTTACATTTTGTGAATTTTGGGTCTAGTGCCTAAGGGCTTTGGGAAGTGAAAAAGGGACAGACGTCAAATTTCTTTTTGGTTAACACATAAGCCTTTCTTCCCTCTTCCTTGCTCCTGTTAAAAGCCTCAAATCATTAATACTATCTTCTCTCAAGGCTAGACTATGTAAGTTTTTAAAAATAGATATATATTTGAGCTTATAATTTATATTAAAAGGAATAAATTACTTGTAAAATTCTAAGTTATTACCAGTGATTAGAGCTGGAATAGTTTAGAAAGACCCATAGGAAAAAGTTATGAAATTAGGGGCTAATATTTCACTTGAAAATAAGCTCATAGAATGTAAACGTTACAAAGAAGAAAAGCTTAATAAAGGAAAACCTGCCTTTTAAAATTATGTTTATAAGATTTTACTCGATAAAATTATATCAAATTGTAAGCAGAAATTACAAAACCCTAATTTATTTTGTATGATTAAACAGTGAAATATCAATTAGCAATTTTATTACCTGAGCCAAATTTGGGGGCAGAGTCATATAAAACATCCTGTGTAAATTAGCAAAAGGTGCCATGTCTGAGTGGCTGAATCACAGAAGGTCACCTCTTTCCTTAGAGTGACACAGTAACAAGACAAGTTTCATGGAGGATTTCAGCCCCCAAGTGCTCCTTCTTCAGGGGCCCTTGTTCAGGGAACTACCTGAAAAAAAAAAAAACCTATACAGCAGCCCTGATTGCTGTTACTGGCAGAGGAAAGAGCAAAAAGTTCAAAAAGAGAATCATTAGAAATAAGCCAAATTAAAGTTATCAGTACTGAAGCAGCCAAATACTGGAAAAATATCCAGTCATTCTACAAAGAGGAAAAAAATGTCATAGATCAGTAAAGGAGGTTATGACAGGGTGACTCTAACTGAAGAAACAAATACAAGTTGTCCACTATGCTTGCAGCTCAAATGTTCATAAAGTGACAGATGACAGAGTCCCTTATGATTAGCAGTTGTAAGCCCTTATGGTTCCCATCAAAAGCCTCTAACTGTTTATTTATCCTTTGGCTCCCATCCCACAGGAAGCATCTTGTGCCAGCATAACTTTTTTCCTTAATACTATAAAGAAATGCATTCAAATAATAATGTAATATACATGTAAGTCAGTCTGACAAAAAATGTTGAAAGAAAGCTGGATGCACTCGATATCCTATAAATTACTTATGATTCATTTTTTTTCTAACAGCTTAGTATTGATACGCCATGCATCCTGCATTGCATGCATAACAATGCCCAGAAACTCTGAAATGGGTGTGAATAACTAGCTTTTAACAGAAAGCCTGGATATGTGTTTACATGTGTCAATATGAGAGAAGGAGTATCTACATACACCCTATATATACATACATACATACATATACATACACATATAAATTAGAAGCCATACTTACTTTAAAAAAAAAAAAAACTCTAGACTACACTTGTCTTAGCTTTCCCTGTGAAATGAGAATACAAACTGCCAAATTCTACAGTCTCTCTCTGCTTTCTGCTGCAAGTTTGGCTTCTCTAGAAGCAGATGCTGAGATTAAATTTAAAGCCATTTTGCTCTGTTCTAGCAAAAATATCATATCTGCCACAGCAGCTGGACTTTTGACTATTACTTAGTTGAACTTGTGGTAGTCTACAGTTGTTTCCAGGATCCACCTGTTCCTGAAGGGGATATTCTGGTGAATTAAGCATAGATATAATGAGGAAAATCACCATTGTATGCTTAGATCCTTAAAATCACTAATTTCCAACCCCCAGATCTATCCCCCAAGATACAATATTGATTTTTATTTACTTCAAAGCCTGGGTAAGGGAAGAATTTCAAAGGTTTCCACTTGGTCTCTCCCACAATGATAGCTACTACCTCAAAGGCTAAAGACCTAATGTGGGAGTTACACTACCCACTGTAAAGCATGTCGATCCCAATTACATATTTGAGGACTGATGGGATTGCAACTGGATAGCCTAGTTGAAAACTGGATCCATTTTAAGCCAGAACTTTTCTTCATTCATTGCCCTATCGCCATTTGCCCTCACTCTTAACAGGAGGGTGGTGATATTGCTTTAGCTCTCTGGATATCATTATTAACATAGACTCCAATGTACAACAGTCCTTAAAATGTCTAGGTATTCCCTTTTTCCATGTGAGTAATTGCCCGAATAGCAGACTATTGTTTCCTTTGAGGAAAACTGGAAAAAATTATTACTATTTATAGTTGCTGTGGTATTTGCAGGGTCTTTTCCCTTGGGGGCACAGCATCTTCTTTAGTCTATGGGTTTCAGGCACAGAAACTAGCCAATGTTTGTAAACTTGGCAAGAAATTTTGGCTTTTCATTTAAGAGAATGCCTTCAGCCTCTCAATAATCTATCCTTGATTTTATCTGTTGTTACAAGCTAAGTAAGAAACTGACAGCTGCCCATCTATTCTGCTCTAGGGCAGCTATGTTCTTAACCATCTCTACAACTCTTTGTAGATCAGCCCCCTCAGCTGCTATTTTGACTCTGAGGTTTATTATAATAATTATGGATCCCTGGCTTCTTACAGTCAAGTGCCAATACTTGGCCTCTATTTTTTCAGAGTCCTATCTTCTCCCTCCTTTCAAGTGATCCAAAACCTGTAATAGCCTAGTCTGCCATCAGCCCCCATCTACGGAATGTGACCACTGAATAACTATAGTGTGTTTCTGCCTTTCTCACCAAAATATTCCTTATGGCCTTGTGAAATGCTATGTTCTCTTGATCTATTCCAAAAATATAATCATCTGGCAGGTCTTCTGACCATACATAGTTTATCTCTCGCAACATGTCCACTTCCCAAGATCTTTACTCTCTTCCTCCACTTTCTTCCATGACGATTCTGACACTCACCTCCCTGAGGGCTATTGTTTATTGCGTGCCCTAGGACCAATACTAGTAGCAAGTTTGTATCATCTACAGTTCTTGCCAGAGTGTTATATATGTCAAGAGAGTGCTTCTGAGTGTACATAATGATTCCCTATTCAAATGTGTCTTGTAGCCACCCTGATCTACCAACTTTTAATTCATTCCCACATTTATTACTCCAGCTCCTGCTAATATATGACAGCTAATTCTCACAGATCCTTTGGAATATACATTCCCTCTCCGCTCTCATCAGGCTCATCACATTCCCACGCAAATGATGCTGTAATTTAATTCTATTTATAGAACATAGAGATGTGTCTTGAGAGGACATATGTTGCCTTTCAAGAAAAAGGGCTCCCCTTTGTCCTCCTGCAAGGGGGTGGGGGTTGAGTTATGCAATGAGATATAGAGGTAGTCAGTTAGGACAATGAGCCAAACTGAAAGTACTAGTCTGGCTTTTATTCACCTACTACAATAATGTAAGCAAGAAGCCTGAGAGAGAATAGGCTACCCCATCATGAACTGAACATTGAAGGGCTGTGATCATAGCCAGTTAATCTAAGGCAATAGCAAACCAGGTCCATATCAAAGTCACCACAAGCAGGATGATTAGCCCTTCCTGGCTGAATCATAGTCACGGTCCTTAACAATTACTAATCCAAGGAAAGATGTCCTGTATCCCATTAGGATCTACTCTAGAAATCCAGGAGACCTCCTGTCTAATTCTCATGATGCACTGTTCTGCTTTGCCAGTTTCACTGACAGAGGAGCAACACAGTTGTTGGCAATTTCACACCCCTCCTTGGATGGCCAAAAAAAACAGAGTTATGCAGGGAGACCTGAACAAAAGACATCTACCACTGTAGGAACTCATGGGCCAGAGGGAAGGAGAGGGGGAAAGGCTAGAAGTGGAAAGGTACTTAGCCAAAGTGGAGAAAAATGCCTCAGCCAAGGATCCCTCCCCACCCCTCCTCCATAAATAAGTCTTAGTAGAGGCACTTTGGTTCAAATGCAGATATGAGTATGAGCACGGCCTTCCCAGGGTACCTGGATTCTTGACTGTACTTCTCTCCAGAAAACTACCATACACAGGCTGCACACCAAGTCTGTGGTGGGGATGGCAGCTGCCCCCAAGGAAATGTGCCAGGCAAAGCTTTGAAACTCACACACAGAATTTTTTCCTGGAGCCAGACTCCTCAGTGTATGAGAAGGTTCAGAGTAGCAGCCCCCAAGCTTTTTAGCACCAGGGGACCGGTCTGAGTTTTCCATGGACTGATGGGGATGAGGGGACATGGTTTTGGGGTGAAACTGTTCCATCTCAGATAATTGGGTATTAGATTCTCAAAAGGAGGGCACAACCTAGATCCCTCACATGTGCGGTTCACAAATAGTGTTCGCAATCTATGAGAATCTAATGCTGCTGATGATCTGACAGGAGGCAGAGCTCAGGCGTTAATGCTAGCTTGTTCACTACCCACATTTTGCTGTGTGGCCCGGTTCCTAACAGGCCACTGGATCAGTACCGGTCTATGGCCTGGGGGCTGAGGACTCCTGATTCAGTGGATTCTAAGGTATCAAAATATTGAAGAGCATTCTCACATAAATTCTATCCCATATATTAGGATTCTAGATTTTTCCCATCCAGGTCCTTCATCTTAACATGAGAAGCCTGCCTTGGTTAGGCATTTAACTGTCTTTTAGGACCATCTATTCTGTTAAGTCCTAGGATTAGCCCTCGGCTTTCTTCACTCTCTTGATGATGGAGATAAGAAACTTATTTATGCAGCCAAAAAGATCTTCTGGCTGTCAACAGCAGGTTTCTCAGTTCTTATCATTTCTCCATAATGCATCAATAACACAACAGCCACCAATATCATTATCCTTTTAGCTACTATTTCCTCCATACCTCTCAAATACCTAATACATCACATCCACAAGTATATTTCCTTCTACTGGCACATCATCAGAGCATACCACTGGTGAGAGTGAGTGTCATCTTATGCTAGGGGCTGTCTGTGCTCTTCCTATTATCAGTGATAGGGTCTTCATTGCCAAAGAAACTAACTGATCCAACTCCAAATTTACTACTACTGTTTGCCTGCTAGGACCACTCCTGTTATCGAATGTAACAAGATGAGTTCTCCAGAAGCAGATGCTGAGACAGTTTGAGGTGCAAGATATTAGGAATCAACACCTGTGAAAGAAAGGTGACAGAAGCAACTTTTTTTTCTTTTTTTTTCTTTTTTTTTTTTTTTTTTGACAAAGTCTCTCTGCTGCCCAAGCTGGAGTGATCTTAGCTCACTGCAACCTCTGCTTCCCGGGTTGAAGCAATACTGCTGCCTCAGCTTCCCGAGTAGCTGGGATTACAGGCGTGGGCCACCACGGCCAGCTAATTTTTGTATTTTTAGTAGAGACAGGGTTTCACCATGTTGGGCAGGCTGGTTTCAAACTCCTGACCTCAGGTGATCCACCCGCCTCGACCTCCCAAAGCGCTGGGATTACAAGCATAAGCCACCATGCCCAGCCCAGGAGCAACATTTCACAGAGGAATAATTTGAGCTGTGATGCAGCTGCCTTGAATTCCTGAGGCAGGGGAAACAGACCATTATGTTGCTGACAGCTGAAGGCTATCTGCTGATAGCACTCCCCACAGCTGGGCGGCAAGGGTATATGGCTAGCACACCAGTATGTCTACCACACTCTTCTTCCTATAGCTTAATTCCTTGAAAAGACATCTAGGCCGGGCGCGGTGGCTCACGCCTGTAATCCCAGCACTTTGGGAGGCCGAGGCGGGCGGATCACGAGGTCAGGAGATCGAGACCATCCTGGCTAAAACGGTGAAACCCCGTCTCTACTAAAAATACAAAAAATTAGCCGGGCGTAGTGGCGGGCGCCTGTAGTCCCAGCTAATTGGGAGGCTGAGGCAGGAGAATGGCGTGAACCCGGGAGGCGGAGCTTGCAGTGAGCCGAGATCCCGCCACTGCACTCCAGCCTGGGCGACAGAGCGAGACTCCGTCTCAAAAAAAAATAAAATAAAATAAAATAAAAAAAAAAAAGAAAAGACATCTAACAGATACATTCATTGGCAAGAGGACCTTGTACTTCAATCATTTACAGAAGGCAACATGGCATCAGACATGGAATCAGATGAACATGGGTTCAAATTTTGGCAGTGCATTTTGAAAAGCTATGTGACTTAGAGCAAGTCACTCAACCTCCTTAAAACTAAATTTCCTCATTTAAAAAATGCAGATTTAGTAGCCACCATACAGTTCAGTAAAGATGTAATAAAATTAAAGATGAAACATATGCTAATTCCTTTCCCACTTTTTTCATTTATTCATCTTTCCCATATATTTTTGTTTGGAATTTGGTATACATTGTTTCAATTATATTTTTATTACAACCTTAATATTGCCCCGGGAAAGTACTTTATAAACTCTAACATCCATAAAAATATAAGGCTATTTTTGTTAATTTTTGTGCAGAGGCAACATGATAGAACAGAGTGCAAAATTTCTAGTTTCACATCCTACTTGTGAAACATACCAAGTGTGTGGTCAAAGCATGTTGTGTAACTGCTTAGAGCCAGTGTCCACATTTCCAAATGTAAGGTAGAACTCTTATATGCATGGATCCCAGTACAGTTTTGAGAAATAAATGGGTTAATAAAAGTGAGAATGCTCAAAACATTTTAAAGCACTGAACAAATATAAAATAACATTGTTATCACAATTCTGATAGCCTCTAAAATGGGTTCCTGATAGCCTCTGAAATGGGTTACCATTCGACACACAGCAGCTAAATAAGTTTTCTAAAAGCAGAACTCAAATTATATTATTTCTTTCCTCAAAATTCATCAGCAGCACCTCTTGGCTTCTCAAATAAAGGTCATATTCTTATCTTAGCATTTAGAGTTCTCTTACTTTTAAAGGTTTGTCATCATTATTCATGAACAAAAATAATAAATGCTACCGGCAAACTATACAACTGTTTAAATAATAATCAAGTTAAAGAAGTAATACATGCTTTTTGAAATAGGTAAACTAACATGATACAAAAATTTACGACAACAAAGTTATCATTTCCCCTACTGCCTTACTATCCCAACTGTATAAAATACTGAGTGTTAACAACCTTGTGAGCATAAAATCACACTATTCTTCCTAGAGAAAGAAATGCAAGCACATATATAGATTTTTTTCTCTGCATTTTTTGTCCTTTTTATTCCAAGATAAATTCTTTCTATAAAATTAATTGAAACTTGCATTTTTCAGTTTTCAAAATATCAATGAGAACTCTGTCATGTAAAGAGTCTGTAAGTCATTAATTCAGTCTTTACAACAAGAAAACAGTGAAGCAAAGTAAAAATTAATGATGTGTTTGAACCTATCAGAGAACTGCCACTCTGGAATCTGAAAAGACAGGCACATCCAGAAAGATACAACAACTGTGATCTGCTTACCTGGAACAAAAGCTGCTGGAGCCGTTAGATGGTGGAAACATTCAAATAGTAATTTTGAGGAAATAATGGAGACTGAGCTTAAGAGTGAGAAACTAACTCCTGGGGTCTCAGTCATCATAATTTCAATGGCTTTCTCTTTAGAAACTTACCAGGTTCTCAGAGTGAGAATCTGAGAAACTTGAATCTACATTAAAAATAAAGGTTCCTCAGAGAAGAAATAAATGAAAATAAAATAATCTGACTTTTCTTATTCATAATTGATCTAAAAGATAACTATTTGTTTAAGTCAATAAACGTTAAAATATATCGAGTGATTACAGCATATGGATACAGGAAATGACTGATGACGATATCACAAAGATGGGTGGGAGGGATCTGGAATACTCTAAGTTACCTGCAATACATGTAAAGCAGACTAGTGTTATTTAGAGTGAGATTTGATTAGTTATAAATGTATTGTAAACTGTGGGGGGAATTACTAAAATTTTTTACAAAAAAAGATAAATGATATGCTCAGGAAGGAGATAAAATGGAGTCATAAATGCCCAAATCAAACCAGAGAAGGCTGAAGAGGGAAAGATAAGGAAACAAAGAGAAAATTCAATAAATAGAAAATAGAAAAGTTACAAAATAGACACATATTAACCCAACCATGTAAACAGTTATGTGTTAATGGTCTAAACACATCAACTAAAAGACAAAGATCATTAGAATGGAAAAAAATAAAAATATGTTGTCATAAGAAGACATTTTTAAACATAAAGATGGATAGGATGTAAAAAAGTAAAAGGATGGAAAAAGATATACCAAGCTATCACTAACCAAGAAAAAACTAGATTAGCTGTACTAATTTCAGACAAAGAAGACTTCAGAACAAGGAATACTATAATGGATAAAGTCTTCACTCTCCAAGAAGACATAATCTCAAACATGCATTCACTGACAACAGAGATTTAGGATACATGAGGCAAAACAGAACTGAAATGAGAAAGAGACAAATCTAGTATGATAGGTGGAAGCTTCAATACACATCCCTCTTTCAATAATTGACAGATCCAGCAGGTAAAAATAGCAATAAGGCATGAATTTTATAAAGAGCACTATCATTATCAACTTAATCTCACTGGCATTTATAGAATACTCCATGTTTTAATTATTTTATTATTATTATTTTTAGATAGGGTTTAGCTTTCTTGCGAGACTGGAGGGCAGTGGCATGATCTTGGCTCAGATACATGAGGCAAAACAGAACTGAAATGAGAAAGAGACAAATTTAGTATAATAGATGAAGGCTTCAATACACATCCCTCTTTCAATAATTGACAGATCCAGCAGGTAAAAATAGCAATAAAGACATGAATTTTATAAAGAGCACTACCATTATCAACTTAATCTCACTGGCATTTATAGAATACTCCATGTTTTAATTATTTTATTATTATTATTAGGGTTTTGTTCTCTTGCCAGACTGGAGTGAAGGGGCGTAATCTTGGCTCACTGTAGCCTCAACCTCCTGGGCTCAAGCAATCTTTCCACCTCAGCTTCCTGAGTAGCTAGGACTAGAGGTGTGCCAAGACACTTGGCTAATTTTGTTTAATTTTTTATAGAGACAAGGTGTTGCTGAGGCTGGTCTCAAACTTCTGGGCTCAAGTGATGCACCCACCTTAGCCTCCCAAAGTGCTGGGATTACAGGCATGAGCCACCATACTTCATTTAACAACAGCAACATATACATTCTTTCCAAGCTGTCAGGTAACATTCAACCAAAATAGGTAACAGTCACTTTCATACCTTAATATACCTTAACAACAACAATGTAAAAATAGCTATGCTTGCTGGAATGGGATGCAAAATTTAAAAATAGAAGTCATTTAAATTATCTTCCTAGAACAGGATGAAATTATGTTCTAAAATAAAAATACCTGAAAAATCTCCAAATATTTAGAAATTACAGTGAACAGTAAACTTCTAAATGTTCCTAGTTTTTTTGTCCCCAAGAGCAAGAATTCTATAAAGTCTCCAAACCGTAATTTTATATGCTGTATTTTTATTTTTATGGGGTTGATTCCTAGGAATGGGGTAGTTTTATAGAAAAATATAAATTTCTTAAACAAATGGTACTCAATTGTTTTCCAAGGAAACAATAAAATTAGAAAAGTCTACCAATGATAAATAAAATTGTACCACCATATTTGCTAACATAGGTTTCACAGAATATTTCAATTTTGGCAGCTTGGTAAAATAAGTAATTTTTCATATTTTCTTCAGCATTCACTTTTTTGACTATTGAGCTTGATCACCTTCTCTGATTTTTGTTAGCCATGTAGAATTATTCATCTGTTAGTTGCCTACTTCTATCCTCTGTCCATTTTATAATTTAAATTACATACCATTTTCTTTAAAGTCTGTTTCAGAATTCTCTAGATTCCCTTTTTGTCCGATCTACTTTTTGTTTTTATGTCAGTATCATATTCATTTATTATTGTGGCCTTATAATTTTCCTGATATGTGTTCATCATTTTCATAATTTTCTTTCTATTACATTTAATGTTACACATAAACCTCAAAATAAGCAATTCAATTTTTTAAAAAATTGCATTGGAATTCAAATTGTCATTGCATTAAATACCTAACAGCTTTGAGAGAGTGGTCATTTTTATGATGTTACACTTTCCCATTCAGAAACAATGTGTGATTTTTCATGAAATTTATTTGCTTCGATGAGATTTTGTAGTTTTCCTTAGCATGCTCCTGATTGCCTTTGTTAATCTGATTCCTAAGTACTATATAGATATCTGTTTCTGCTAAATGACGAGTTAATGGGTGCAGCACACCAGCATGGCACATATATACATATGTAACTAACCTGCACATTGTGCACACGTACCCTAAAACTTAAAGTGTAATAATAATATAAATAAATAAATAAATAAATAAAAGAAATATGAAAAAAAAAAGAATGGAATTTTTCCTAGTTCCACTTCTACTTACTTATTGGTAAAATAGAAGTTAATGATAAATAAGGTGGTACTAAAAGTTCTGATATTAAAGTTATAATCAATTCATAAAATGAATTTAGACAGCATTGGAATCATCTTTTATTTATATGTCAGATAGGTTCCATTTTTAATGATGTTTCCTTAATGACCATTTCAATCTCTGCTTTTTGACAATTAGTCTATCAATATTTCCACTTCCCTTAGATGGAAACTAGGAAAAAAGTTCATTTCCTATACATTCTCAAATGTTTGCCATAGTTTCGTATAACATTTCTTATGGTTTTTTGCATAACTTTAATTTGTATTGTGATTTGTAATATGAGAATATATTAGAACATTAACATTGATAAAGAGCATCATAAACTTCTGATTTGCTTGCAAACCAGAAAAGACAGAAAAATGTGTTCAAGTGTTACCATTCATGTTTTGTAAACAGAAGTTTTTAGAGAACTTGGAGAGGAATATTTAGCCCTCTCTTCTTTCTGGGAAAATAATAATTCTATTTGGGATCCTTTAATTAGACAATTTACAAGCACAAGAAGCCATTAAAACATTAATCACTGAACAGAATTTTTACACATTTACAAAAGTATATGTATGCAACTATATGAAGCAAAAAGTAAATCTGCTATCATGCTAAGGCATAAACATATTTCTTTTCTAAATTTAGCAGGAAAATATTTTTCTATGGCTTATGTGAAAATAATGCATCATGGCATTTGGGAGGGACCCAATAAATAGCTCTCAAATTTTCTACCTGATTTTTAAACCAAATGATATATAAGATGTAAGAGCCAGTAAATGGGGCTGAAAATATCACCTTTATTACTAATAAAGATGATACTGTAAAATATGACAAATACATCCTGTCAAGCAGGTATTCCAGTAACAAACCCCAAAATCAGATAAATGTGGGTGCCCAGACATGGAAGCATTGGAACAGGGAAAATCTCTCCTAACGTTGTCCTGCCCATTCCCTCCCACTAACAAAAAGCATGTCCAGGGAATATGAGAGATGATTTGCTCCTTTGTGGCAACTGAATCCAATAGCTATAAAGAGAAGTTATTGGGCAATGCATGTCTTGTCATTCCTCCAAAACTCACCAATAAGTCACTTGCCCTTTCTAATAAGGAGCAGAAGAGATTAGAAAAAGATGCTGGGAGTGGTTAGGTCAGTAAGGTTTCCCCATAGATAAGGAAATATCAAAAAAAGAGAAGAAGGCCAGGTGTAGTGACTCATGTTTGTAATCTCAGCACTTTGGGAGGCCGAGACTAACGGATTGCGTAAGTCCAGGAGCAGGAAAGATGGTGAAACCTCATATCTACAAAAAATACAAAAATTAGCCAGGTGTGGTGGCACATGCCTGTGGCCCCAGTCACTTGGGAGGTTGAGGTGGGAGGATCATTTGAGCCTGGGAGGTGGAGGTTGCAGTGAGCTGAGATCATCGTGTCACTGCACTCCATCCTGGGCAACAGAGCAAGACCCTGTCTCAATTAGAAAAAAAAAGGAAAAAAATAATTCCACCTTATACCACCTTATACTTGAGGGTTAGGATTATTGAGGGTTATCATTCATTTATTTACTCATCAACTTATCCACCCATTAAACATTCATTACACACTACTAACATTGAGGCCCTTAAAAAGATCAGTCTTCAAACTTTATTCTAGATAGCTCTTACAGTTCACTCCCCAAAACGGTATTAATACCATATTCAAAATGGCTGAAATACAAAGATAATTTATTGTCTACTTTCCAGATGCCAGCTATCTTTCTTTCTGGAATGATTAATAGAATGGGAAGAGAGACCCAGCAGTTGTGTACTGTAATGTGTTTGGTATTAAAGTAGATACGGTGCTTTTAGCACACCCTGGAAAAAATTGAATAAGTATCAGAATAGTAACCAGTCCTAACTTATAACACGATTTTTGGTACACATATCACAAGTAGCAGATGTCTGTACAATGCTGATATCTAAGCTTTTCTGTAGTATTTTTTCTAGAATTTCTACCACCACTAAAACACAGTAGTGCCATCTTCAGAAACACACAAACAATACCAGTATAAACGACTTAGCCTTTACTGTAAAGCATTATGTTATCTGGATCCTGTCCACTTCCCTAGAATTTTCTCCCACCACTTCCCTCCTACTACTCACTGCTACAGTTCTACTAAACTATTTTCAGTTCCTTAAATATACCAACTGCTTTCTCACCAACGGACCTTTGTGTACATTGATTTCTTTGTGTAGAATATTATTTCATCTTCTCTAACACTTCTCTCCTTCACTCCTAATATTTTTTATATCCCAGTTCTCCAAGAGGCAGTCTATGAACCAGGGGTGATATTCAAAACATTTAATAATTGTGGCACAGTTACCCAGGACTAATCAGAACGGTCATAAACTACAGTGCTAGAACTGAATTTTGGAAGGCTTTCATGTCCAGGGATAATTCCTTTGTTGCAGTGTAACTGCCAGGTGTGGTAAGGAGCTCTCTGGAGAGAAACCTGGGTAGCCAAGGTATCTGCAGAAGCACTTGGGAGCACAAGCAGAGTCCACTTATCAACCAGGACAAAAGGTTTCACTGTTTTAATAAGTGGTTTGGCCATTCTGCTGTAAACTAGCTGTCTCCCTTTATAAACTCTATGAGAAGGTCAGGTATCCCTTTTGTGTCCTCCTATGGTATTTATCACTATAGTACCACTTTTCTCACTGTATCATAATTTCCAATTCACTTGTTTGTCTCTCTCACTAAACTAAAAAGCTCCTTAAAGTCAAGGTCCTTGTCTTATTTGTCATTGTGCTGTCGGCATTCAATATCATTACCAGAACCTGGTACAAAAACTTCACAAATATTTGTAAAAAGAGAAGGAAGAATGGTAAGAAAACAGGAAAGAAGAAAGAGAGAGAACAGAGGCAAGGGAGGAATTGTCGTAGACAAGACGTTCAAAGCACTGTTTGTATTCTACATAGCATCGTTCAAAAATATGTGTTAAGAATAGAAAAACGCAAAGATCATTTAGTCCAACCTCCTCTTTTTGTAAGCAAAGACAAAAAAACTCAGAGAAGTTAGTATCTTACCCAGTATTATGTAGCTTGGGAAAGTACTCTCAGGGGTCCTCATCCAAGTTTACTTCACTGAGCTTTTTAAACTCAAGATTGATTTCTACTGGAAAAATATTCCTCATTCATTCATAAGGTTTTCTTACTTTGGAATTGAAACTTTGTAAAGATATGCTATAACTGTTGCAGATACTTTCAGTATGTTTCAGGAAGGCTGTTGTCTTCTTTTGATACTCATATAAAATAAAAATGCCCATGTACATAAATGTTAATATTTATCAGGACTAGACTGAAATGCTGACTCCACTTTTGAAGATGGAAATTCATGCTGTTATTTCCTTGCAGCATGTTCCATGATCACATCATATGTCTCTCTGTGTGGGCACCTCAGGTGAAGCATCTGTGCTCTTCCAACTGAAATTCTCCATGAGATTCAGTTTTAAAACAGAACATACAAACTCTATGTAGCTTCGGGCTGCACACTCCCACATTCCAGAAAAAGTAAGTAAACCTTCCTTTAAAGTGCCTAACATATGTGAGTGATAAATTAGGTGTTTCGGCCTCTGAGATGTATTAGCAAAGTATAAAGTGAGACACATGGTACACTGTCAAAGAGTTGTGGTAGACAGTAGAGTAGCATGTATTTTGAATGTTTTAATCCTTTTGCTGACTTCAATAAAGCAGAGCCAAGGCTTTTACCTATTCAATAATATAGGCCATAGTTGTTTTAGAACAGCATCTTCCAGAATGAGTCAGTTGCAATACCAGTAAATACCAGCAGAAACAGAATTCTCAGGGGCGGAACAGAGGAATTTTAGGGCAATGAACCTATTCTGTGTGAGACTATAATGGTGGCTACGTGTTATTTTATATTTGTTAAAACTGATAGAAGAAATAAACCTAAGCAAATTTACAAAGAAACCCACAGAATGTACAAAACCACGAGTCTATCAAATATACCACTCTGACGCGGATGTTAATTGCTGGCAGGCTGTGCTGTGCCTGTGTGTGTTGGGAGTGCAGGGGAGGGGATACATGAGAATTCTGTACTGTATGCTCAATTTTGCTGTGAACCTGAAGATGCTCTAAGAAATAAAGTCTATCTAGGAAGGGAAAATTTTCTCTCCCTCTCTTCCTCCCTTACACACACACACACACACACACACACACACACACACACACGAATAGAGAAGGACGTGCTCAAATGTACTTGGGAATTACTGTATATTCTATCTACTTTTCAAAGACAAAGTTATCCTGAGTTTGGCACTTCTGCCGAGCTCAATAAAGAGGAATTGAACTCTTCCATCTTTTTTTTTTTTTTTTTTTTTTTTTGAGACGGAGTCTCACTCTGTCGCCCAGGCTGGAGTGCAGTGGCACAACCTCGGCTCACTGCAAGCTCCACCTCCCGGGTTGACCTCATTCTCCTGCCTCAGCCTCCCGAGTAGCTGGGACTACAGGAACCAGCCACCACACCTGGCTAATTTTTTTTATATTTTTAGTAGAGACGACCATGTTAGCCAGGATGGTCTTGATCTCCTGACCTCGTGATCCACCTGCCTAGGGTTCCCAAAGTGCTGGGAATACAGGCGTGAGCCACCGCAACCGGCCAAATTCTTCCATCTTAAGTTCCATTCTCATTTACTAGTCCAAGAACCAACACAGAACAAATCAATTAATTTGTAAACATTATGTCCTTCTACCTCTCAAATCCCTCAAGGGAAGGGGAAGAGGAAGCTTAGGAATTCAGTCATTTGTGTTATCAGGCTCCTATGGGTTCAGAACTGGTTTGCCTAAGTTAAGACCCCGCCCCTCCCACTGCCCCGATGCCAACCAAGGGAGTGAGCAAGTAACAAGGAAAGACTATGTGAGAGCCCTCTAAGCATCCGGAGAATTTTCTATACTCTTGCAGGCTGTCATATGACTTTAAGAATAGAAGTCTTATACTACATACAATCAAGATAATTGAGACCACTGAAATATTTTATTATGTTCTGGATTCCTATCTCCTTGGCCCCAGGTAAGATTAATTTTTATTTGAATTTTTTAATGTACTTATAATGACATACCCTAAATTGTTTAAAATGTTCTTGGCGACCAATTTTGCAGAGAACAGTGAAAAAAAGGCTACAGAGAACAAGTGTATCTATTCTAATAAAATAACTTTGTTGTACAAATTGAGAAGTAGGGGTTGAAGACAGTGATGTTCCATCAGGAGAAAAGGAGAATGCACCTGTACCATGCTTCCCTATCTTCCATGGTATGTACTGGTTTACCGAAAGGCTCAAAGAAGTCCCACCTTACAGTAATTTCTCCAATTTCCTGAATTGTTATAACCTCAGAATTCTTTTTGGGCAATATCTGCTGATATCTCACAATACACCAGTGTTCCTAGGAATAATTTGGAAAGCAGGGCTCTGGAAGGTATTCCTGGTCCAATTGCCTATAAATAAGATGATTCGTGACAGCAAATGACTTATGGGTATATGACCTATTCTCATATTTTGGGGAATTTCCCCAAATATAAAATTTTATTTAGGAAAACTTTAAAGATTTTCAGTTCAACTCTTTCATTTTATGTGTAGGATTAAAATGGTTTTACAGTGCACCAAAGGCCACACAGAAAAGGAATGGCCCAGATAGAGCTAGATCCCAGGTCACTAATTCTCTCTCTGAAACCTCATCAACTTGACATGCATATTTGTTATGTGCTGAATTGTGTCCTCCCAAAATGCATATGTTTAAGTCCTAATATGCCCAAAACTCAAAATGTTACTGTACTTGGAGAGATAGTCTTTAAAGAAGAAATTAAGTAAAAATTACACCATTCGGGTGGGCCCTAATCCAGTCTGAATGGTGTACTTATAAGAAGAGGAAATTTGGACTTGCAAAGGAGACACCTGGGATGTGCATGCACAGAGGAAAGACCATGTGAGGACCCAAAAAAGTGGTCATCTGCAAGCTAAGGAAAGCAGCCTCAGAAGAAACGAAACCTGCTGACACCTTGATCTTGGACCTCTAGACTTCAGAACGCTGAGAAACTAGATCTATGCCCTTTTAGCCATCCAATCTGTGGTATTTTGCTATGGCAGCCCTAGTAAACTAATACAACACCCATCTACTATCTGATTTTCTTATTTTTTCAGCCTTATTTTCCTCTCCAACCCCAAAGCAAAATGTATATTTCAACTAGAGTATATGCCTTGAATATTATCCCTCTGTCTTTCCCCATAGAGTGGCCTCTTTGCCCAGAATGTTGCTTATTTCTTCCCCTGGATGTTATGTGAATTCTATGCAGTGAAGCCCCACTTCTGTTATACCATTCTTAATCAGACCAGCTCATGGTGTTCATTGCTTTTGCTAAACTCCTCAAAACCACAACACATGTCACATCATTCTTTTCATACAATTATTCATGACTAGTCATCTTTTTCTGATTGTGTGTCTTGTGTCACAAACCAGATCCTCAAACATCATTTTTGTGGCATTTCCACTGTTACTAGTCTTTAAATATAATCTTGATTGTTCTCAATTTCTAGTAAGTTGGCCAGAATATACTCTTCCTAAGATTATGTATGGCCACATCAGTTTAAGCATAATGAAATTCAATATAACTCTAATGCTCACAGGGATTTCTACGGTGTCACCATAAAAAATAATATCATAAAAACAGGCATAATTGGACTGTTCTCCTGTTATAATGACAAAGTGCTGTCATTATTAATATTGGGGTATACATGAAATCACTAAACATTATATACACAAGGCCTAATTGTAAGAACAAACTGTCAGTTTAAAAAAGTTATTTGCTGGTCACTTCTGATTGTTTTTTCTTCATTCTTGTCTTCAGATTCCTTCAGTAAACTCGTAGTTCTTGTCTGTAATGATGTTTGGTATTAAAATATCAATCTAAACTGGGGAGTATGTCTGAAGGGTTTAAATGAGCCCTAAGCTGCTTGGCAGTGTTTGTGTCAAGATCACTGAACTCACTGGATAGTTCCAAGATTTGGACTCTTGATAATGATCAGCTTTGGGGATGAAGGAAGAGGACAAAGAATGACTTCACAGTTAACTCCTTTGAGTTACTGCTATCCAATTATGATGATTCAAGATCCATTTTGGTCAATATCATATCAAATCAAATACCAGCATAGTTAAGGATAAGGTTTCCAGCCAGATATGTTTAAAAATCACATCTAAATATGTCCAGCCTTCGTCAATATGTAACTATACATCTGCTACTTTTTATTTTGCTTCTTAAAAGCAAAATTTGTTTATTTTTAAAAGACAAAAATACCATAACATAAATTTTCTGATATCTTTAGACAAAATAGGTCTGTAGTAAAGGAATCATATACTTTTTCAAGCAATCTCCATAGAAATCATTAGAACAAAAAGGCAATCTTATTAGAATTCAAAACAAGCACGCATCTTTTTTCTCATTACCTTGATTCTCTGATTCCCCTGGCTATTTTAGCAAAATGCCAGTGATCCTTAGTTATTTCAATTCTATCAACCATGCCTCTCAAAAATAAATTGTACTATGACAACATCCCCCTCAGAATCACCTGGGAGTTTTCCATTTGAGATGTGATCCTAGAACAAAATGCTCCTTAGATGAATGCAGGGTTTTCTAATTTGTTCTTAAGGATTATTAGATAAACTCTGATTCACTCAATATCAACCCATCCCCTCAAACTTTAATTGACTAGATGTAAACCACCAAATCATGTTGGCATAAGAACTTTCGGGCTGAAAGAGCCTTGAGTAATTGAGTTATAAATGTGCTGTGGGTCTATGCTAATGTTCTAGCCAGAAGATAAAGGCTAGGAAAAGATACGCCCTGAAGGTTATGAGTGTTGATCTTATGGGAAGGAGGAAGTCCTGATACTTTTTGTCATACTGCCTTTTATTTTAGAACACTTATTTCCTTGGATAGTGGCCATTATAATAAAGATCATATACCTTCAAGGTTCCAAGGTGGTGACACTTCAAATAGATGTTAGGGCACAAATAAAATATAGGAATCTAAAGGTGACTTGCCAAAAAGGACTCTTAATTAGATATTCTTCACATTATGCTGAATGTCAGCAATAAAGGTGTAAGCAAGGAAAGGTAGGTGGCTATGAGCAACTAAAAACTGACCTTTCACAAATTCACTTTAGGTTCCCAAAGTCCTTCAATTAGAAAATGTTGCACTAGAATGCAAATTCCCGGCACACTCCTTAGGACACAATTTAGGAGTAATCTTATGATATTAGAAGCAAGAGCTGTTTTACCTCCCACAATTCTTATTTTTTTCTCTCTATCCACACTTCTTATATTTTTCCCTCTATTCTAAAACTACTTGCCATTAGTTATGCACCTGTCATTATCGTAGGCAGCACAGAGTTAAATACACAATACCAATGCAATATCAAAGCACAGGCAGTAACATCAAAACCTACAGTAGCCAGGAGCAGAGCTTAGGCCTGTAATCCCAGCACTTTGTGAGGTCGAGGTGGGTGGATCACCTGAGGTCACCAGTTTGAGACCAGCCTGATCAATATGATGAAACCCCGTCTATATTAAAATTCAAAAATTAGCCAGGTATGGTGGCATGCACCTGTAATCCCAGCTACTCGGGAGGCTGAGACAGGAGAATCGCTTGAATCTGGGAGGCAGAGGTTGCAGTGAGCCAAGATCACACCATTGCATTCCAGCCTGGGCAACAAGAGTGAAACTCTGACTCAAAAAAACAAAAACAAAAAAGAAAACAAAAAAAACAGCAACAAAAAACCACCAACCACCTACAGTATTAGTTGGGGAGACAAATTATGCACCTTATAAAATAGCTAAAAGACTATTTTTAGAAAATTAGATATTCATTAAAATATCATAATATGCACTTTATTTCTGAACGCTTAAATTGAAGTAGCAAAAATATTAGAGAACCAATCAAAGGTTTTCAGCAATAAAGTGGCATTATTAAGCTTAGGAAGATCAATCTGCTGAGAACTTTTTGAAGAACTTGGAGGCGAGACTAGGAAACAGCAGGTAGAAGAATTATGAAGTATGATGTCATATACGGAAAATGCCCATCTTTCCTTCCTGAGAGATGACAAGGAATGAAAAAGAGAACAGAAGACAATATGCAGGTAAAATACACAAGATTTGGCCCCTGATTCACTGGGGAAAGCTAAGGAAAAGTTAAAAATGATATTGAGTTGTAAAACTTATACAGATAAACTAAGGAAAAATGTCTTCTAACATTATACTCATTTACAGTATTGTTCACTAAATATTAAAAAATATTAGTACTATTAATAGCAATTTCCTCCAGTAGTTAAAATTTTTATTTATATAAGCTTACCCATTTTTCTGTGAATTCAATATATAAAAATACAATACTACCCACTTTTCTGCCAAGCTCTGTAATCCTCAACTCTCCTAAACATCATTAAACTTAAATATTAGTGAAAAGTACCTCTAAACCTCTACAAACATCCTGACATAGAAAAGCAATAAATGTTCCCCCTGGAAAACAATTTTATAACTTCAAAATTGTATTTAAAATTCAAGTTTCTCACTTAATAAGGTTAGACACTTTCTTTCTTTTGGTATCTTTTATTGTTACTAAGCTACCACAGGCAGTTAAATAAATTATAGCTAAAAGCTCCGTGCTTTATGTGCATTTTTAATTTGGTTCTCACCACAGTCCCTGAAGGAGGTACTACCATTAGCCTCCCAAAATGAGAGTTAAAGAGGTCAAGTAACAGCTACTAAATATTGAAATCCAGGACTTTCACACTGTAAAGTTATAGAGTTACAGAGCATCAGTGAGAAAGTGAGGGGTGGAGGAGTGTTGGGGAAAGGCTGCTAAAAGCAGCAGCTCTGAGCTGGGACAACTGCTTTTAAGGAGTGAGACAAGAGAATTAAAGCACAATACAGCAATCTAGGATAATTTAATCTAGGGGCAAGAAACTCAATAGCACTGATGACAATTCTGCCTTGTAGAATTTTATACCATCAGATGTTCAAAATGATGTCATGATGTCATGGAGGAGGTTTATATTCTATGCAGTATGCTCTCTTTAATAGAGCAAAGGAATGCACAATACATTTTAGACATATCTCTGTGAAACATACAGTCCACTGTTTAAAGGAATAAGTTTTAATTACTGAGAATGGAACTGATCCTAGGTAAAATGATTAAATGGACAACTTAAAGATTGTTTTGCAAAGTCTTAATTAGTCCTTTTATTTATTTTTTCACTCTCTTCCCCATGGGCACCAATTTGAGTAACACTTACACATTAGGAAGCTCTCCCTAAAAAGCCCTCAGGTTTTCTACAAGTCTGGCAAGGGTCACACTCACAAAGCTGAAACTCTAACATCATTGATTTTATGGCATTGTTTCTTAATGAGCCCTTTTAGAATGTAAGCAACTAAAAAGTACATAAGGTACCTGTACTTCAGCTTTGAAATAGAAAAGATAAAAGAGAAGCTCTTCCAAATCTTTCTTGGCTCCAGTAAACCATAGCTTAGTAAATGATCACAGTTCAGCTCCTAATACAAAAGACCCTTATGATTAAATAGAAAAGTACTATTAACAATCACACAGTTTTATCTGGATGAAACATCCTATTAAGCAGAAAATGTTCTTAACCTTTTTTGAAAGAATATTTCCTAGTTGTAGATAAAAGAGACTTGTTTTCATTGTTGCAGTACATAGGTTAATGAAAATTCTTTTTTATGGGACCATGTTTAAAGCTTAAAAAAAGTCTGAAGTTTAGAAATAAGCAATGAAATATTTAATCTTCCAGCAGGTTGTTAAAATAAGGGTAAAGCCGATTATAGTCAAAAGCTATTACTACCTTATAGGTACATGGTGATATATATGAAATTTGTTGATTACTTCAGCTCAGTACTAGCAAATGGCATAATTGCTATTATCATGTGAGTGACAGTAGTCCCATATAAAGTATTAAAAATAGTAAAAATGAAAAAAACATCAGAAAATACAGTGCTTAATCAATAAACATCTTTTAACAATATTTGACCATCATGTATCATGAAACTAATATGTTACTAACACTGTGGTATAAAGTGCAGGAAGATTCATAGATAGAAAGACATTTGTACTTAACCTCCAAGAGCTCAAGATCCAGTGGAGGAGTTAGGCTAAAATTGAGAATTACAATTCTTTGTAAGACCTATAACAGAGATATGTATAGTGTTCTGAATATGAGAAAGATATAGCAACTACCAGTGTAGTAAAGAAAGTCTTCACAGTAACGCTGGCATTGGAACTCGTTCTGGAAGGGAGGTGAAGTCCTTCCAGAGACTTCTGTGAGAGTCTGAGAAAGGTATTCTGACCAAATGAACAATATGTGCAAAAATGGACAGCTGAGAAAACATAGTGTATACAGAGAAAACTAGTCTCTAGCAAAACAACCAGCACATAGTAGATATCAAATAAATATCTCTGGAATGAACAAGCAAAAGATAAAAGTGAGAAGCTATGTTTCACTAGAATGTAAACAGTACATGTAAAACAAAAAGGAAATGAACTTGGAGTGATAAACCTAGGCAAGTACAAGTGGTCAATTTTCAAGAAACACTGTTCTCTCACTATACAGAACTATAAAAAATATTTTTATAAACCAAAGTTTAGATATGGAGACACTTTGTTGCAGCTATATTTTTTTTACCCATACACAAGATCTCCCAACTTAGTGGCTTCAAATTCTAAAAGCATTTATTTTGCTCACAAATGCGCACTTTGGGCAGGGCTACTAAAGGGATAGCTGGTCTCTGGCTCACTAAGCATCAACTGAGGTGGCTTGAAGGCTGAGGCCTATAATCATCTGAAGCTTGCTTACTCATATATCTCAGAGTGGACACTAGCTATCAGCCGAGTCTTTTGATGAGGCTGGCAACTGAAACATATACATATGACCTTCTGTTTGTCCTGGGCTTCCTGACAACATGGTGGCTAGGTTCCAATGGCAAACATCCCAAGAGACAGCCATTTGGAAGCTGTATAATTTTTAGATCTAGCCATGGAAGTTCCATACTATCATTTCTAGTACCATTTCTGCTATACTCTTTTGGTCAGAGAAGATATAACCCCTTTCAAGTTCATAGGGAGAGAAAACAGACTCCTCTTTTTGACAGTGGTATAGCAAGGATTCAGAGAATAAGATACCAGAAATACCACAGTGAATTTTTTTTGAAAATGCCATATACCACAAATGCTATTTCCCTATCAACATAATAATAAAAATTATATCCACAAAAGTCTAAACAATTTTTAATAAACTCAACAGTAGAGACCACAAAACTCATATAGTTTTAGTTAGCTCAGGACTTATCAATTATCTTACTATATTATAATTGTTTATAATATAAATGTAAAAGTTTGCCTATCTGATATTTTAAACTTCATTAGAGCAGAAAATGACTCTTTTTTAATCGTTTCCCAATATATAGTAAAATCCTGGCATATTAATATTTATTAATAAATGATTACACAGTATATATGAACTTAATATTAAAAATCACTCTCTTATATAACTGAGCTCAATGGTAAAGTCTTTTAACAAATGTATTTTGGAAGCATGACATGAATTTTGATATCAATGTAGTTTCTAGTGGATGACCCACTCAAAGACAGAGATAATTGATCTTCTTGGAGGATTATGATTTTGCCACGGTTGGAGGTGAGGGTCAGTCAACAGCAAATAGCCAATGGTTTTTATTTCTTAATAAGAGAAACTGACCATCAGAAATCAAAGCAAGTTTTTAAAAATAAGATAAATTGACCAGGCGTGGTGGCTCACGCCTGTAATCCCAGCACTTTGGGAGGCCAAGGTGGGCAGATCATGAGGTCAGGAGATCGAGACCATCCTGGCTAACACAGTGAAACCCTGTCTCTATTAAAAATACAAAAAATTAGCCGGGCATGGTGGCAGGTGCTTGTAGTCCCAGCTACTCGGGAGGCTGAGGCAGGATAATGGCATAAACCCAGGAGGCAGAGGTTGCGGTGAGCTGAGATCACACCACTGCACTCCAGCCTGGGCAACAGAGCAAGACTCCATCTCAAAAAATAAATAATAATAAGATAAATTATAAAAATTTGGACTTCTCTTCAAAAAAAATTTTACCCATTGTCTTCCAAGAACTAATGTATACCATGAAGTTAACTTAAGCATTGCAATTGGAATATTCAAATCGCTTTAAAGAGTTACCAGTTAAAGAGTTTGCTGCATGATGCACATAGAAGTCAATACTATGGCACTGGCTTTTAAGAAAAGAAAAGCTTTATTGTGAGTCAGCTGGCAAGGAGACAAGAGGAAACACCCAAGTCTCTCTTTCCAAGCTGGAGGCTGGGTCAAGTTTTAGAAGGATAGAGCAATGAGGTGTTGTCTAGAGGCATGATCTGCCTGGGAATTGTTATAGGGTGACATCAGGGCTCAATCTGATTGGATCCTGGATCTTACCAGGATTCACTTCTTAATTCTGTCCCCATTATTTGATCAGATCACTTAGGTTCCCTCCACGGTTGCATGCTTGGCTTATCTGGGTATTCTCAGGTTCCATGACCTTCAATTTGAGAGACCATGGCAACTAAAAAACAACCTATAACTTTGTTACATGAAAATTGAACCAGACTGGTGTGATGCTGTTACAAAACAATTACATTTTAGTTGTAATTCACTTTAAGTATATTTAGGATAAAAGTCTCCAAAAAATCTATTATTCACCTGTTTTATAGCTGCTGGACAAATGTCCAATCTGTATTAAGTAGGCCTCCATTCTCCTCTCTCCCCTCAGCCCAGTGAAAACATGGAAATTGACAAAAACTTGATTTCTAACATAAAAAATTTCAGTTTTGTTATTTGTAAGATGAAGATGCAACATGCTTTGATCTTATATGTTTAAGTGTAGAATACATAAACTAGGGGATTCATATGTCTGGGCTACATTTAACAGTTGTAAGACTGTAGAATGATTTACTTAGAAATGATGTATGCAGTTTTCTTTGCCAATCAATAAATGCTTAATCAAGTTTCATAAACTATTGTCAAGGAGGCTTGTCAGTTTCAAGTCCCTTTAATAATATTTATAGCTAAAAGGGATAAAATCACATTGTAAGCTAATGTGGAAGAAGCATGTGACAAGGTTTAGAATGCTTTCCTTTCTCAATATAAAAACACTGTTTGTTATCAGTAAATTTCCCAGTCCCTTAGCTCATCCAAAGCCTAGTGTCTCTTGAGTGACACAAATGTTGACCATATGTACATACGAGTTAGTCCTAAAATGATAGTGATTAAATATGATTTTTAATCTACTAACTCGTCAAATTTCTGGTAAATTCTCATGAACACAGCACTTCTTAGCACAAGCGTAATAGGAAGAATGGGAGCAACCAGAACCTGCTCCGATTTTGTCATTTAGGGTTTTGCACTGGACAAGCCATTTGACTCAGTTTTATTATTTTTGCTAAGCTGAAGTCAATCAGATCTTTCTTGCCTTTTCTTCCAGCTTTTAAATTTGTATGCCTCTATTGCACAAAATAGAAACTCAATAAGTACATATTTGGTGATCAAAGACTAAATGAATAAGCAAACATACTTAGTCCAACATCTTTTTAAATTTCCCCAAACAACCAGTTGTTTTACCAAATATAATTTTACATTTTTAATTGATATGCAAATATGCACATGTGCAAATATCAATTTAGGGCCTCCAAGCAAACATTTCAGAAAGGATTTCTTTTTTAATTATAGAACAGTGTTCCCTAATGGAGTAGAGAGTACCTAACATTTTTAAACATAAATACCCAGAAAAAAAAGACAAGTACTTACTATTTATGCTAGAAAAATAATTAAACCAAATATACATTCTAATGCAAGAAAGAAGATTGTAGTTTGACCATACCGTTGCCTATATAGTAAGAACTAATAAAACTCCATTTTTGATGCTTTATTGTGGCATAATTTATACATCATAAAATTCATCCATTGAAAGTATACAACTCTAAGTATATTGAGTTATGTAGCCATGACAACAATGTAGTTTCAGAACATCTTCATTACTCCCCAAAATTCCCAGTAAGACTGACTAAGACTAACTCTCTTACTCAATTCCTGTTTGCAGTTAATGTTGTCATTCACTCCCATACCCAGGTGACTACTGGTCTGATTTCTATGTCTAAAGATTTTACTTCTTCTGGACATTTCATACAAATGATTTTATGAAATCAATATGTAGTCTTTCGCATTTGGCTTCTTTTACTTAGCATAATGTTTCTGAGATTCATCCATGCTGTGGCATACATCAGTACTTCCATTTTTTTTCTTAAATAATATTACATCATAGAGATATACCACATTTTTTAATCCATTCACCAGTTGGTCAAGTTTTTACCTAATTTGAGTAATGTTGCTAAAACATTCATATATAAAATTAATGTGAATATAAATTTTCATTTCTCTCAGGTACATACCTAGGGGTAGAATTTCTGAGTTGTATAGTAAGTTTATGTGTAACTTTTCTAAGTTATGTCAAATTGTTTTTCAAGGTGACTGTATCATTTTACATTATCACCACCAACATATAATGATTCTAGCTTATCCATCTCCTTATCAACACTTGGTATTATCTGTCTCTTTGATAAGAGTCATTAAAGTGAGTGTAAAATGGTATCTTAATGGGTTTTGATATACATTTCACTAACGACCAATAATGTTGAGCATGTTTTCATGTGCTTGTTGATCACATGTATATGAATAAATAATAAGGCAGGGTAATTGGGAAAGAGGGGTTTGGGGTGGGGGCAGTGTTATTATATTATAAAAGTTATCAGCGATAATCTCCCCAGTAAGAAGGAGGTATCTGGGACAAACACTTAAAGGGTTTGGACTGAGCCGTCCAGTCCTAACACAAAAGGGGATCTTCTTTCTCATTGCAAATGCTGAGCTAAATGTAATGTAGGGTGAAGAAGAAGAAGAAGGAGGAGAAGGAGGGGAGGGGGAGGAGGGGAGGAGGGGGAGGAGGGGAGGAAGGGGAGGAAGGCGAGGAAGGGGAGGAGGGGAGGAAGGAGAGGACGGGAGGAGGGGGAGGAGGGGGAGGAGGGGTGGAGGAGGAGGAAGAGGTCATCCCTGGGAAGAAATCTGAAGAAGATGGGGAGAAGTATTTTGCATAGAAAGAACAACAAACAACAAGCACAAATGTCAAGGAGTAAGAGTAGGATTAGCAAGATCCAGGAAAACAAGGAAGGCACTGCAGATTGAGCAAAGTGAAGAAAAAGTGATGTGATAGAAGATAAAATCAGAGAGTAACAAGACTGGTTTGCAGAAGTACAGATTTTGTAGGGTTTTAAAAGCCATTGTAAGGATTGGGCTTCAATAGACTGTTTATACTAATTCAATTCAAGGAAATATGTAAGAAAACAAATTGCATAAGATAATTTGTTAATTTATAGTAAAAGTTAACTGGCAAGATTATTCATATCTGCAGATTACTATACTCATTCTCTGTAGGAACTAAGAATACTGTATATAGATAAATAAGCAGTAAAGACATTTGAACTCAGCTACCCAATCATCCCTAGATACTCTGCATGGGAAAGTTGCTGGCAATTTCCAGGGCATACAATATTCCAAAAGCAACCTTAGTACATATGAGAGCAAAACGGTTCCTCTGGCATGGCTAGTGAATGGGGAAGTGCTTGGGCCTCCTGTGAGGACATACCTCACTGGAGTCTAGTCCCACAGTGGTTTTTGCCAACATGATTTGTGAAAAGGGATATTTCATTATTATTTTCATTTGCATTTTCTCATGAGTCTGAGAATGTTTTAGCATTATTATTTGTCATTCCAATTTATTCTTCTGTGGTTTCTGTATTTTAACCTCTTGCTTATTTTTATGGCTGCTTATTCTATCAACATGTAAGGGCTAATTATATATTATAAATATCAATACTTTATCTTATATGAGACCTAAGTTTTCTTCCCAACTACCATATACTTGACTTCACTCATGGTATTTTACTGAAATTTTCACCTTTTCTCTAGTCAAACATATTCAAATATATACTTTTTTAGACTTCTAATTCATAAGTTATACAAATACTCTACTAAATTTTTTTCTTGAGATTGTTATCATATTCCTATAGCAGTGATGCTAACTGCCTTAGACTGTTAAGGCTGCTATACAAAATATCATAAACTCGGTGGCTTCTAAACAACAGACATTTCTCACCATTTCAGAGGCAGAAGTCCAAGACCAAGTCATAAATAGATTTAGTGACTGGTGAGGGCCTGTTCTTCAAGATGGCAGCTTTCTCACTGTTACCTCACTTGACAGAAGAGTGAGGGAGATCACAGGGGACTCTTTCATAAAGGCACTAATCATATTTATGAGGGTTCTGCCCTTATTACATAAACACCTCCCAAAGCCCCCACCTGCTACTACCATCCCATGTGGGGTTAGGGTTTCAACATATGAATTTTGGGGGGACATAAACGTTCAGTCCATTACACTAATGAATTTGTGTATTATGTATTTATTTATTTATTTGCCTTCATATGTGAGTGTATATGTATACTTACACATGAGGACAGTGAGAAGTTTCAACTATTTTCTTCCAGAAAGATGGCCACTTTTAACAGCACTATTGGTAAAGTAAACCATCTTTTCATGGTGAACAGAAACAGTACCTTTGCCTAATAAACACATATACACACATGTGCATGCACACATTCACATATACATGCACATTGCAGCCTATCACTAGGTTTTTTAATTAATTTATTCACATATTCTTTTTTGATGCACACATTCTTAAGTCAATATTATATTCTTGAATATTTTTCTTTTAATAAATTGTAGATTGCTTTAATCAAATTCCAAACACAAAGCCCAAAGCCCTAAGATATTAGGGCTTCTAACTAAATTATTTTGGGGGTGAAACAGAGTCTCACTCTGTCACCCAAAGTGCAGTGGTGTGATCATAGCTCACTGCCACCTCAAAGTCCTAGGCTTAAACAATTCTCCTTCAGCCTGCTGAGTAGCTGGAACTACAGGTGTGATCCACTGCATCTGGCTGTCTTTTTATTTTTATTTTTTGTAGATACATGGTCTCGCTATGTTGCCCAGGCTGGTCTCAAATTCCTGGACTCAAGTGATCCACCCACCTCAGCCTCCCAAAGTGCTGGGATTACAGGCTTGAGCCACCATCCCCAGCCAAAATTTCTCATAATTCACATATTAACTGGAGAAGACTTGTCACTTTTATTATATTACATGTTCCCATTAAGAACGTAAGTCTTTCCTTTAGTTCAAATCCTAATTAGTTCCCTTCAGAAATATTTTATGAATTTCTTCATATAGGTCTTATTCTTAAGATTATTCCTGATTATTTTGTAGTTTTCATTGATATTTTGAATAGGGTAATTCTATTTTTATTTATAGCTGGTTATAGCAAATATTAAAAAGTACTGATGTCTGCACATTCACAAATTTGAAAATTTCCCTTTAAAGGACTAAAAGACTTACAGATTTCTTTGGTTTAAGTTTTTAGCAAATATATGAATAATCTTATTCTTCTTTACCAATGTTAGTGCTATTTAAGGTTTTTTCTTATTGAATTTGCTAGAATGTATTTTTTAAGTTGAATAATAATAGTCAAAATGGGCCTTTCATTATTTGCAAGTGAAAACTATCATGTTGAAGTAAGACCTTTTATTTTCTGTTTTAATAAGGGTTTATTTAAAACATCTGTTAAATTTTATTAAATAACTTTTGATATTCAATTGGTTTTCTCTATTAATATATTGATGCTGGTCAGGCGTGGTGGCTCATGCCTGTACTCCCAGAACTTTGGGAGGCCGAGGCAGGTGGATCACTTGAGGCCAGGAGTTTGAGACCAGCCTGGGCCAACACTGAAACAGTGGAAAGTCACTGGTCTCAGAAGGTGTTATGCAAGCTTGTCGTCTCACGACCAAGAGAATTAAGGAACTTGGACACAAAGGGTGAGGTTAGAGCAAAAGTTTAGTAAGTGAAACAAGAAAACTCTCCACAGCAGAGAAGGGTCCCAGACAGATTGCCATTTTACAGTTGAATGCAAAAGCTTTTTTAAGAAACTCCTCTCATCTCTGTAGCTGTTTGAGTAACTTCTCTTATCTATAAAGCTGTCTGCAAAACTCCCCCTATCTATCCAGCTGAGGGGTGTCTCTAGGTAAGCAGAAAGTGCAGCTTTTCTTGTTTGTATAATTAAGAACAAAAGGCTCCTATGCTGGGCCTTGTCTGTCTTGCCTGCTTATCTGTGCAGGTGCAGTCTGAGTTTTCCCATATTGCTCTATTTTGCCTGTAGCTGTGATTTTTCAGGCAGGCTATTTCTCTGAGGACTAGCCTTAGTTGTCTACCCAACTGATTTTTCCCTTTTCTTCTCCCTCACATGGCAAAAACCCATCTCTACTAAAAATACAAAAATTATGTGGGCATTGTGGCAGACGCCAGTAGTCCCAGCTACTTGGGAGGCTGAGGCAGGAGGCTTACTTGAACCTGGGAGGCAAAGGTTGCAGTGAGCTAAGATCATGCCACTGTGCTCCAGCCTGGGTGACAGAGTGAGACTCAGTCTCTCTCTCTCTCTCTCTCTCTCTCTCTATATATATATATATATATATATATGTGTGTGTGTGTGTGTGTGTGTGTGTGTGTGTACACACATATATATATACACACACACATATATATACATATACATATCTTGATGTCATAAATTATGTCAATAAATTTCCTAGTTTTGTAGTCACCTTCATATTGAATGGCTCACTGCTAAATTCCAACTAATATTTTATTTGCATTTATAATTCAAAGTATCATTAAATTTAATAGGCTCCATTTTTGTGTACTCTGCCATGCTTTGATATTAATATTATATGAGTTTTATATAATAAATTTAAGAGCTTTTCATTTTTATGGTTGATAATTTAAATGAATTAAAAATTATCTCTTCTCTAAAGATTAAATAATCTTTGATCAGCCTTTGATCATGTGTTCATGTTTAATGATACATTTTAAATCTCCTTTTCAATCTTTATACAGTAATTGGTTTCCTCAAGTTTTCAGCTTATTCATGAATCAATGTTAGTAATTTAACTTTTTGCTAAGAAAACATCTATTTAATCCAGGTTTTCAAATTGGTTACCTTAGAGTAGCCACCTATAATTCTTTTCATCTCTTCTGTACCTAGGTTATATCTCCATTTATATTCTAATATGTGTTTTAGCTTTCTTTTTTTTCTTAATTGAGCTCACAATGAGATGATGTATATTATTGGTCTTTTAAAGAATCAATTTTCAGATGTATTTATGCTTTTGATTTTTATTTTCCATTTCATTTTCAGATTCTATTTTCATGTATTCTATCTACTATTTTAATTTAGCATGTTGTTTTTCACTTACTTTTCCAAAATAAATAAGCTTTTATATTTTTTGTCTTATTTCTCTAACAGTAATGTCATTTAAAGATGTAAAATTTTCTATAAGAATTTTTATAGCTTTCTAGATAGTTCATAGTTTCACTTGTGAATTACTTTTTCATCTAAAGATTACTTAAGACAATGTTTCTTAAATTTCAAGTAGCTAATTTTTCAGCACTTCTAGATTATTAATGAGAGAACGTGATCTGTAAAATCTCTAAAATGTCTTAATTTATTCTTTGTTGGCAAGCAAAAAATTTTAAACTAATCCTCAGACATTAAAAAAAATAAGTTTCCACTAAGATCTGGAACACAACAAGGATGCCCACTTTCCCCATTCTTATTCAATATAGTACTGGAAATTCTAGCTACAGCAATCAGACAAGAAAAAGAAGGGCATCCAAATTGGAAAGAAAAAAGTTAAATTATCATTGTTAGCAGATGATATGATTTCGTATTTGTAAAAACCTAAATACTCTATTAAAAATTATTAGAACTAATAATACAAATTCAGTAAAGCTGTAAAATATAAAAATCAACATACAAAAATCAGTGGCATTTCTGTATGTCAACACTGAACAAACTGAAAAATAAATAAAAAGGTAGTTCCATTTACAATAGCTATTAGGTTGGTGCAACAATACTTGCGATTTCGCTAATGCTTTTAATGGCAAAATCTGCAATTACTTTTGCACCAACGTAATATAAATATTCTTAAATATCTAGGAATTAATTTAACCAAAGAAGCAAAAAAAATCTCCATAATGAAAATTACAAAACGCTGATAAGAAATTGAAGAGAATACCAAAAAATGGGAAAATATTCTATGTTCATCAATTGGAAGAATTAGTATTTTTAAAATATCCATACTAACAAAACAATCTACAGATTCAATGCAATCCCTATCTAAGTACCAATGACATTCTTCACAGAAATAGAAAAAAGTATTCTAAAATTTATATGGAACCACAAAATACAGAGAATAGCCAAAGCTATCCTAAGCAAAAAGAACAAAACTGGAGGAATAACATTACCTGACTTCAAATTATACTACAGAGCAATAGAAACCAAAACAGCATGGTACTGGCACAAAAACAGACACATAGACCAATGGAACAGAATAGAGAACCCAGAAACAAATCCACACACCTATAGTGAACTCATTTTCAACAAAAGTGCCAAGAATATACACTGGGGAAAAAAACAGTCTCTTCAAAAAATGGTGCTGGGAAAGTGGATATCCGTATGCAGAAGAATGAAACTAGACCCCTACCTCTCACCATATACAAAGATGAAATCGAAATGGATGAAAGACTTAAAATCTAAGACCTCGAACTATGAAACTGCTATAAGAAAACATTGGGTAAAATCTCCAGAACATTGATCTGGGCAAAAATTTCTTGAGCAATACCCCACAAGCACAACCAAAGCAAAAATGGACAAATGGGATCACATCAAGTTAAAAAGCTTCTACACAGCAAAGGATACAACAAAAAAAGTGTAGAGACAATTCACAGAATGGAAGATAATATTTTCAAACTACTCATCTGACAAGGGATTAATAACTAGAATATATAAGGAACTCAACTCCATAGGAAAAAAAATCCAATAATCCAATTTAAAAATGGATGTAAGATGTGAATAGGCACTTCTCAAAAGAAGACATACAAATGACAAACAGGCATATGAAAAGGTTCTCAACATAAATGATCATCAAAGAAATGCTAATCAAAACTACAATATCGTCTCACCCCAGTTAAAATGGCTTATATCCAAAAGACAGGCAATAACAAACGCTGGTGAGGATGTGGAGAAAAGGGAACCGTTGTACACTGTTGGTGGGAATGTAAATTAGTGCAACCATTATGGAGAACAGTTTGGAAGTTCCTCAAAAAAACTCTAAAAATTGAGCTACCACATAACTCAGCAATCCAACTGCTGGGCATATACCCAAAAGAAGAGAAATCAGGGTATTGAAGAGATAGCTGCATCCTGTGTTTGTTGCATCACTGTTTACAATAGCTACGATTTGGAAGCAACCTAAGTGTCCATCAACAGATTAGAAAATGTGGTACATATACACAGTGGAGTATATTCGGCCATTAAAAAAAAAATGAGATCCAGTCATTTGCAACAACTTGTATGGAACTAGAAACCATTATGTTAAGGGAAATAAGCGAGACACAGAAAGACAAACATTGCATCCCTCACTTACTTCAGGGATCCAAAAATTAAAACAATTGAATTCATGGACATAAACAGTAGAAGGATGGTTACTAGATGCTGGGAAGGGTCGTAGGTGCAGGAGGTGGAGACTGTTAATGATAGGGACAGGTGACAGGGAAATACTGGGTAGAAGAGGGCAGTTACCAGGCAAAGGCCCCACCCTCAAGCCTGAAGACCCAGGGCCCTAAATGAGGACCAGCATTCCTATTTTCCCACCCAAAAGTTGCCTTTGGGCCTGCCACACCCCCTATCCTGCATCCATATAAACCCCAAACCTCAGGCTCCAGAAGGAGACCAACAGATCAGCAGACTAGCCAACCAGCAAGCCAGCAGAACAGCAGACAGACAGCATGACAGAGCACACTGTGCATGACAGAGCACACTGTGGAGGGTTCATAATGAGAGAGAGAAGCAGGGAGAAGAGAGATCGGGGAAAAGAGAGACAGAGAGGAGACAAACAAGGTGTGGGAGGGGGGACAGAGAGAGAATTAGGTTAAATGTTCTACATTTTGTTCTTGTAAAGACTTAGTACTCAAATTCAGTTTCCTGTCTTTTTATACTCCTAGAATGGAATGTGTAAGTTTGTTACAATTAAATTCAACACACATTTGTTACACTAAGCCCAGTGCTAGGTTCTGGGGGTATGTAAGGGAGCTAGATAAAATTCTATCTCACTCATTTTACAAGTATGTATTCAGCTCCTATTATGTTCCAGTAATGGTGTTGGTCTCTGTAAACAAAATGCAGGGGGGAGGCTAAAGAAATAAGTAGAAAAAAAAAAAACTCTGTTTTTACTATTGTACTCTCACAACATGCTTCTGACACTGTGTGGGGATTTCTCCCCATCAGCAAGCGAGCAATCAGTTCTGCAGTAGAAGACACCTGAGTGTACTCTAATTCAATTCCATTCTGACACTAGTTGCCTGGAGATGGCATCAGATCACAAAGGTTGATCCCACAAGACTGAGCCCCATTTCCGATGCCAGTTGAGAGCCACAGGTTATTTTGCTTCTGACCAACTGGCTATAAATCAAGAGTTTCCACAGCCCCCTCTTTGGGTTCAATTAATGTTCTTCAGAAGCTCACAGAACTCAGAGAAACACTTACATTTACTAGTTTATTGCAAGAAATATTTCAAAGGATAGAAATTAACAGTCAGATGAAGAGATACACAGGGCAAGGTCTGGAAGGATCTAGAGCACAGGAGCTTCTCTTCTGATGGAGTTGAGGTGCACCACCCTCCTGACATGTGGCTGTGTTCTTGTTCACTTTCCTGGAATCCCACATGTGTGCAGCTATCTGCAAGCTCCCTGAACCTACTTCTTTGGGATTTTTATGGAATCTTCATTTTATAGGTATGACTGATTAAATCATTGGCCATTAGTAATCAACTTGACCTTCAACCTCTCTCTGCTCCCCAGAGGTTGTGGGGTAGGGCTGAAAGTCCCAACCTTTTACTCCTTCTCTGGTCTTTCCAGTGACCAGCCCCCATCCTGAAGCTAACTAGGGGCTGCCAGCCATCCATCAACTAATTAGCACACAAAAAGATCCATTGTTTTGAAGATTCTGAGGATTCTAGGAGTTATACGCCAGGAAACGATGAAGAACTAATATATATTTCACATATCACACAAATACAAACATGATGTCCTCCATCAAGTAGCATAGAGTCTAGTTGAGAATACAGACAAGTAAATAAGTGGAACACAGAATGGTATTATGATGAGGCAAGGGCACAAGTGCAATGTATTCACCAGAGGCACACCTAACCCAGACATGGTCATCTAGAAAGACTTCCTGGAAAATGTACAGACTACTGAGACCTAAAGTACAAGTAGGAATTATCCAGGCAATGAGATTGTAACTGCTTGATGGGTTCTTCCTGCCCATTGCAAAGACCATGGCATTGCAGTAAAGAAAGAGTTTAATTGATGTGAGCCAGCCACACCACTTGGGAAACAGAGTTAGTACTCAAATCAATCACCTCAAAGGCTTGTAGGTTAGGGGTTTTTCAAAGGCAGTTTAGGGGAAGGAGTGGGGGTGGCTAGGCAATGAGTGCTTGCTGCTGATTGGTTGTGTCAGAGATGAAATCACAGCCAATTAAAGCTACTCTCTTCCACTGAGTTGCTTCTGGGTGGGGCCACAGAAACAATTGGCAGGTCCAGGTGCAGCCAGGTGTCAGACATGCCAAAAAAAAAAAAAAAAAAAAACTGAAAAGATTCTCAAAAGGCCAATTTTTAGATTATATAATAGTGATATTATCTGCAGGAGTAATTGGGGAAATTGCATGTCTTGTGTTCTCACAGATAATAGCAGGTGATCATTTATGTCTACACCTTAGCGGAATTCAGGCTCCTCTTCTCCCCTTAGCCTGATGGTCTCCTTAACTTTACAAAGACAGTTGAGTTTTAGGGAAGGGCTATTATCATTTAAACTAAATGTCTCCCAAAGATAGCCCAGTCTAAGCCCAGAAATAATTTAACCAGTTTGAAGGCTAAAGGCAAAAGGGAGATTGCTAGATCAGATCTCCCACACTGCCATAATTTTCTCAGTATTATAATTTTTGCAAAGGCATTTTCAGGATTAAGGTGGGAATAGATGTTCTAGGAAGAGAGGACAGCATATTCAGAGGCAATGAGGCAAGAGAGAGCATGGCTAATCTCAAAAATTAACTGTAGTATAGTATAGATAGAAGCAAGAGAAAGAGAGCAGAGATTAGGCAGAGATTGTTACTGGCAAACCCATATAGATCTGCAGCAACCTCAAATCTTGTCTACTCAGAAGAAAGAATTTGAGGGGCAGAAGGCAGAAGGAGGGGCTGTGGCAAGTTTTAGACAGGGGTGAAAGTTTATTAAAAAGTTTTAGAGTAGGAATGAAAGGAAGTAAAGTACACTTGGAAGAGGGCCCACCAGGCAACTTGAGAGATTCAAGTGCCTGGTTTGACTTTTGACTTGGGGTTTTATATGTTGGCATACTTCCAGGGTCTTGCATCCCTTCTCCCTAATTCTTCCCTTGAGGTGGGCTGTCTGCATGCTCAGTGGTCTGCTAGTGCTTGGGAATGGCCACATGCACAGTGTGTTTACTGGAGTTGTATACATGCTCACTTGAGGTGTTTTTCCCTCACCAGTTGAATGTTCCTAGAAGGTCATATACCAGTTAAACTCTGCCATTTTGCCTCTCAGTGCACATGCTTGAGCACACCTGCCAAACTCCTGAGTTCTTATTTGGAAGCAGCTGATCACCAGTTTCAGGTTTTTCTATTTATTGGAAGATTGCCTTCCCCTGGCACTGGCTGTGACCAATTATTATTAATATTTTAGAGAGACAGTTAACAACTGCCTGAACATCACCTGATTGTCATCTGACATTCCTGGTGTGTGTGTTGGGTAGGTGGGGACCCTCTCCTGCCCTGCTCACGTCTGACTACCTACCTACTGTAAGAGGATGAGTCCAAATGCAAAGTCAAGTCTGGATCTTATGAAAAGTTTATTTTATGCCATTTTAGAAATTTAGACTTTACCATGAGGGCAACAAAGAGACACCAGAGGGTTTTAAACACCTTCAAAGAGCTGTCACATTATTGGAGGAAAAATAGACACGCAAACAAGCAACACAGAATAACTAATGACACTCTGGACACATGTTGGTGGTACAGAAGTGGCATGCAAGAAGAGGTAATTATGCTCCCCTTGGGTGAAGTGACCAAAGAAGGTATAAAATGTGATATACAAAATGGCATTGTCAGAGGCGTTCAAACCAGAGTGACTCCATTTTGAATAGGGTCTGGGTAAAATGAGGCCGAGACCTGCTGGGCTGCATTTCCAGGAGGTTAGGCATCCTTAGTCATAGGATGAGATATGAGATTGGCACAAGATACAGGTCACAAAGATCCTACTGATAAAATAAGATGTGGTAAAGAAGCCAACTGAAACCCACCAGAACCAATATGGTGACAAAAATTGCCTCTAATCATTCTCATTGCTCATTATACACTAATTAGAATGCATTAGCATGCTAAAAGACACTCCCACCGGCGCCATGACAGTTTACAAATGCCATGGCAATATTCAGAAGTTACCTTATATTATCTAAAACGGGGACGAACCCTCACTTCTGGGAACTGCCCATCCGTTTCCTGGAAGATTCATGAATAATCCACCCCTTGTTTAGCATATGATCAAGCAATAAACATAAAAATAGCCAATTAGGAGTCCTTGGGGCTGCTCTGCCTATGGAGTAGCCATTCTTTTGTTTTTTTACATCTCTAATAAACTTGCTGTCACTTTACTCGGTGAGTCAAGACCCTGTTCCTGTAGCAGCCTCGCTATGGCTCAGAGCTCTAACATGGAGTTGGCAAGCCTTTCTAAGGACTACCTGCACAACCTGCAACCTTGCAAAACAGGAAATTGCCTTGAACCTTTTAACTGGGCCAAATCACCATGACCACAACATCTTGAAAAACAGCTACATTTCATCAGCACTACAACTTATGAACAATGACAACCAATGAACTATGGAATCATGTACTATGCCAGCTACCTCCATTAATGATTATTCCTTCAAAATAACTTGTGTAATCGCCTTCAGCATGCTTTTAAAAATTCCTACTACCTTTCTTCAGAACACAATTTGGCTTTTAGCTGAGTCTCTGTCTCCTGAATTGCAATTCCTAAGACCCGAGTAAATGCCTTGTCTTACTGCTTTGCAGTCACTCTTTGACTTTTCATTGACAAAGGTGAGCAACAGTGAATAAGGAGGGATAGTGAAAAGACCTCCCTGTAATGCTGATTAATCAAGTAAGTTTTAAAGCATAAAAAATAATTTTACCATGTAATATAGGAAGAATATAAGCAAAAGCAATGAGACTTGCAATAAAATGAATTTTTTGACCATTTCCTATTGCTAAACAGAAAAATATGAACAAGGTTGTGACAGAAACTAAGGCTAGAAAGTAGACATAGGTTAAGCCATGGAAGGCTTTGAATGCCAGGTTAAACTGTATCTTGTCCTGAAGGTACTCAGTAAAGGCTTCCAAAAATTTCAAAACCACCAAGAGATGTTCTATATGAAAAAACATATCACTTATTTTTCTTTCTTATGTTTCTCTTTATTTTCCTATTCTATCAAATCTGCTTAACACTGGCCTACTGTGATTTAAAAAAAAAAAGCTGGAAAAGTAAAATCAAAACACAATTTCAGTACCAGTCCCCACCTGCCAATTTTACCCACATGTGCCTTTTAATAAGACATATGATCTCCTCTTAGACTGTCTTTGATTCCACATTGAAAAAAGGTTGAATAACATAGAGTTAATGGAACCAGACTCATGGAATGTGAAATGAAATGAACATCTCAAAAGTATATTGTTACAATATCTCTTACTGAACTACTGAACTTATCTGCTTGATTCCACTCATCTCTATTCAATCTCCTCTTTCTACAACACAGTCTAATCTTTAAAACATAAATCAGATTATGTGACTTCCCTATTCAAAATCCTTCAAAAATGTTAATCAACCTTAAGCTAAAATGCAAACTCCTTACCATCACCTCCAAAGTCCTCCGTGAGCTGGCCTCTGTCTAGCTTTCCAGCTTCCCACCACTGTCCTCTTCATTTCATGTTAGCCTTCTTCCTGCTTCTCAAAAATTGTAATCTTGTTTTTACCTCAGGGTCTTTGCTTACTGTTCTTGCTGTTTTGAAATATTCCGTCACTAGATCCCCCTTGGCTTGTTCCTCACTTTATTCAGGTCTCTACTCAAATGTCACCGCCTCACAGAGGCCTTCTCTACCCATCATATCTTTGAAATGGCATGCAGTAACACTGCTCCCTTGTATTTTTCTGGGCTATGTTTTTTCCAGTTTTTCAGTGTTGTTGTTCATGGCATTCATCATCACCTGATATTAGATTATAGATTGATTTTGTTTTCTTACGTATTTTATCTATCTTCTATCCTCTACTAAGCTCAATGATAGGAAATTTATTCACCAATGGTAGGCACACAATAAATGTTTGGTTAAATAAATAAATGGGTGACTACATTAGAGTAATGTAGAGAAACATTATACTAAACCTTCCTAAAGTCATACAGGATTCTTGAGGCTGAAACTGCTTTTCCATAAGGGATTTTTAGGATTAGCCTTAATGAAGAACTGTGTAATTTCAAAATTTATTCTCACTGTAGAATCCTTTGTTATCAGTATAAGTCAGAGAAAAATAAAATTTCTTTTCTATGCCAGGTGAAAAAAAATTGACTAAGTAAATTAGTAGAACAAAGAAAATTTCTAAAAGGAGATATTGTGAGAGATATCATTTTGAAGGAATGATTTGCATTTACATATATATCAGGATACCTGACGTATTAGACACAAATCATTTTTTTGTTAAGGTATGAACTCTAGATATATCTGACATATACTTTGTGAGCCTGGTTTTGTTATTGCATTTATTAGAAAATAATAAAGTTTTATTTCCTTTGATATTCTATTAGTCTATGTAGTTGTACAGAGCAGCCATTATCCAGACAGACCCAACTTCTCCCACTCAGTTTCACTGAGCGATTATTACATGATTTATTATCCTCTTTAAATATTGGGGTTAAATGTACCCAAGTTTTTAGCCCTGGTTCTAACAATTAATAGAATAACAGTTACAAGAGCATAGGAAATTGTGTATGTGTGTGTTTACATAAGGCTAAAATTTGAATTTCATCAGTCCCTAAATAACTAAATGATAACACTCTCAAGAGGTGACATATGCTTCCACTAAACAGTGAAGATATCCATACGGTCAGCCACTAGAACCAAGCAGTATGTCACTAGAACAATAATTCACATGCCTCTGTGCTCCTTTCTATTCCTATTGCTACCACTTTTGGTTCATCAGCTGATTTTTCTCAATGGACTATTTTTCAAAGTCTTATATATTATATCCTCTACTTCAGAATTTTCCACTCCAAGATATCATACACGTAGTTGCTAGATTCATCTTGTATCCATTCAAATTACTGCTCTACTTAAATCCTTCAATAACTTGTTTTTCTTTCCAAAACTCTTCAGCTTCTCAGTCAAGGCTTTCCACAAACTCCACTACTTGCAAGTGAATCTTCCACTACTTACTCATTCAAAACCCAAATTTCAGCTGCTGTCCAAACTCTATGTTTTAACACCTTGCTATATTTACTCCCAATCTGTGTTTATCGCATCCCTATCCATTTCTTTAAGAAACATTTCAAATGTCACATTTATTTATTTATTTATTTTAAGACAGGTTTTTGCTCTGTTGGCCAGACTGGAGGGCAGTGGCGCTATCTCAGCTCACTGCAACCTCTGACTCCTGGGTTCAAATGATTTGTCCACCTCAGCCTCCTGAGTAGCTGGGACCACAGGCACACACTACCATGCCCAGCTAATTTTTGTAGAGATGGGGTTTCCACACATTGCCCAGGCTGGTCTCGAACTCCTGGGCTCAAGTGAGCCACCCACCTCAGCCTCCCAAAGTGCTAGGACTACAGGTATGAGCCACCGTGCCCTGCCTAAATGTCACTTTCTTTATTTCATCTGGTCCTCACCAGTTCTCTCAACCAGAGGAGATCTATTCTACTTTGAATTCCATCACACCTTTGACCTTTGTTCTAATAAAGTCATTTCTGACCATCTTTATCCCAATATTCTAACTACCAACATAAAGAACACGGATTTCAGGAATTATAGAAACAATGTTTGAAACAATATCTTCACAACATTTTCTTTATGTGACATTGAGGAAATAGCATCAGTGGGCAAATACCTTAACTTTGATATCTTCGTCTGCAACTTAAAGATAATACCTAAATTTAAGATCATTAGAAAGATTTAACTAAAATTATATCTGGTATGAAAATTATCTGGCTGCTTATAATTCTTTTTATTATCTTTCATTTCTTTTAGATTTTAATAAACTTCACACGGAATAAATTCACAAATTAAATAAATTAGCTACTGACTGGCCAAAGAAATAGGGCCACAGACGTTATCATCAAATTTCATCAAGGTACAGGCACACTGATGGAGCCTGCTAGTTGACCCTGTCCCTTAGTAACTCATTCATAAATCCTATGTGAGTACCTACAACTTGACGATTATCTTTACTACTTGTGGCCAATGCAGAAACATGCTACAAAATGCTACCACTGCTTAGGGAATATTTCTATATAAGAAAGAGCAGAACTAGTGTTAAAAATGTACTTTGTAAACCTTACTAAAGAGCATGTAATATATATACTAGAAAAATTATCTGTAGTTTAATGTTAATAATCATTTCTGTCACCAGCCAGATTTAAAACCATCTTATCATTGACCATAGTACTTTATAGCACTGCACTCCACACACTTCTATGGCTTCTGATACTGTTACTGGTGATTCAATTCCCATCTTTAGATTCTCATGTGGATAAAACAAATCCCAAGGGAACACACTTCTCTGCCTACCAGTAGCTGTATTCCTGTTGATACACAGGGAATGCCTGAAAATACCTATCTCAATTTCTACCAGAAGAAATTAAAACTGTCAATAAATTTCCCCTGGTAATCAATGCAGAGGCAGATACCAAAGGAATTAAAAACAGGTGTTCAAATGAAAACTCGTACACAAATATTCACAGCAGCCCTATTCACAATACCCAAAAGGTGAAAACAACCCAAATATCCATTGACAAATGAATGGATAAACAAAATGTAAAATATCTATAAAATGGAATATTATTCAGCTATAAAAATAATGGGTTCAGTGTCTCACGCCTGTAATTCCAACATTTTGGGAGGCCAAAGCAGGAGGATCTCTTGAGCTCTTCAGTTTAAGACCAGCATGGGCAACATGGTGAAGTCCTGTCTCTACAAAAAATTAGCCAGGTATGGTGGCACGTGCCCGTAGTCTCAGCTACTCAGGAGGCTGAGGTATGAGGATTGCTTGAGCCTGGGAGGTGGAGGTTGCAGTGATTACATCACTGCACTCCAGACAATGTGACAGAGAAAGTTCCTGTCACAAAACAAACAAAGTAATGAGGTGCTGATACATACTACAAAATGGCATATCTATATAACGATGGAATATTATTCTTAATCTAGATTAGTGGATTGTTGCACAACATGGTGAATGTACTAGATGTCATTGATTTATACGCTTTAAAATGGTTACGATGGTAAACTCCATGTTATGTGTATTTTACCACAATAAAAAAGTTCTCATTCATACACACAAAAGATAAATACCAACTGTATTAAAATTTGATGTATTCAGTGCAGTTTCTTAAAGAAGCTATTTGTTGAACAAAAGGGATGCAAAGGGGAAATGTATTTTTGTTGAAAAGTATGACATTACTTTCTAATAACTACTAAGTTGGGAGAGTGAAGATACCACCACAATATAGCCAGTTGCAGTGATTTAAGAAAAAATTGATGACGAAATACTGTAGCCTTAGGAAGAAGCATTTATGTTTTTCAAAATAAATTGGACTATTTGTTGATGATAAAAGGGTACAAACCTGCAATTATAAGAGTAATAAGTTCTGGAGAGCTATTGTGCAGCATGGTGACTATAGTTAACAATAATGTATTGCATACTTGAAATTTGCTAGAAGAGTAGATCTTAAATATTCTTACCACAAAATAAAAAGAAAAGGTAACTATGTGAGGTAACAGGTATGTTAATTAGTTTTATTGTGCTAATCATTTCATAATGCATGAATATATCATCACATTATATACCTTAAATATATACAATTTTACATGTAAATTATACCTCAAAAATAAGTAAATAGAACCAGATAATATGCTTCACATATGTTTAAAATGAATAAATTGCTTCCTTTGCAAAATAAATTATAAAGCACATAAGTATCTCCCACTGAGAGAATTCTAGTGACCTTATAGTCAGCACAGATCTTCAAATTGTCAGTGGACTTTCAGATCCTGAAGCTCTGTAGAAAGGGAGATTGTATATTTTCCTATCATCTTGCCATTGTCTGACTTGAATAGGATCAATTTAGAATTAAAAATTAGAACTAATGCCATCTGCAGAGCAAAGTTCAAATATAACCAATTACTGAGACTTAAGCTAATACAAAGACACTTTGGGACTAGCCACATATGTTAGGGAACATATGTCTGGTTCTACTAAACCAAAAATTGAAGAAGTATTATGAGGGAAGAAAGCAAACAAAGGAAACAAGAAAAGCACATAAGAGAGAGAGAGACTGGAAAGTAGAGTAGGCAACAGAGATAGGTTACAACAGTGAAAGCAATTTCAAGTTTGACATCTGTATTCTGTATTTTATGTTTCCTGGATTAAGACACGTGTCTTGAGATCCAATCAATTACAGCAGACCACCTGATTATAGACGCAATAATGAATTGACATAGAAAAGCTACATTCCTAGATAGAAAATTCAAGAAGGAAAATCTGTTATCTTACAGCCTGTTAGTGCCAACTTCAGATAATCATTACATTGAGTTGCTTAAATTTCCACTTATTATTTCTCTTGTGTAACGCTGCTAGTGAAAAATAAAGTCTGTCTTGTCCATTTAGACAAATTTCCTTGTTAGTTTAAGGAAGAAATATGCAGATAATATCTCATTTCTTAGTCTGTTAATGTAAGTAGAAAATTGTAAGGAAAGGTCTAAGAAGCATGAAAAGAGGTTAATTAAAATTGATGATTTCAAAACTCAATAAAGAAAACTCAAGGAGTAATGTGTTGCTTTTAGTGTTTAACGGTCCATATGGTTGCTTTTTCTTAAGAATTTTAAACATACCTGAGAAGATTAAAAAGCATTTAGGTTTTTCTGTCTAATTTTCCACTGAGGCCACATTTTCAGACATCCACCTCTCTGGCCCTTGCCATCTCCTGACTCTCCTAACTGTAGGGATATATCTACATCTCTCAAACTCTGCTTTACCCATTTATTGAACAAACTCTACAACCATGGGGTCCAGAACTGGTCTCTTGGCTTGTGATTCCACTATCTTGTAAGTCCACACTGAGCCCTACGTACCTATGTGTTCATCGGGTTGCATGCTTCCCCTGTCTCCTGCTGGGTTGGACCAATCCATTCAATTGGACCTCTCCCTAGCATTTTAATTCTATACTGGAGCTACAACTATGCTGAATCCCCATGTGCTTGATAAGAGGCAAAATCATTAAATCTCCCTAATGCCTTCATCTTAGGGGCTGTATTTTGCTGCTGGGGGTCATTCTATAAACAGGCTGATTATCTAGTTACATTATTAGAAATGGTCACTCAGAAAATACATTGGATGTCTCCTCAATTTTATGTAGCAGAAAAACAAATCAAAGTAGATATTCTAAGAATTATCTGGTAGGCTAGAAATCTATACTAGCTTCATTCTCCATAGCAGGATTTAATAATTGGTTCCAAATGCAGAGAAATCTTCAGCTGTCCATGATTTTCTTAGGTTCATCTGAAAATCAAACTGCTTAAAGCTCCTGATTTATTTTTATAGCACTTTTTATTGCCTTTTATATGGATAAAGTAAGATAAAATTTCTTATTCTATATTGAATGGAATTTACCCATGAACAACGTAATATATTGGATAAGAACTTTTATCATCTGTATGATTAGTATAGAAATGAATGATTTGAGATTAACATCATCTTGATGTAAACAACATAAAGTGAAATGGCTATATTCCCAAAACAGATACATTTTACTTTATATAAATTATCTTAGTGCTTTGAATGATGAATCACTCAACCAAGATCCAAAATATCTTTTCATATCTATAGGCTGTATCTAAAATTACCATAGCAGGGTAGAATATAATGATTCTTTTCTCTATTAGAGTTGCAAAAATGGATCATAACTCTCTGTGCTTGCTACATATATGAATCCTTGCTTCCTCTCCTAAAAATGAGGTATTTTACATTTTAGATTTGAGTTAAATTTGTTTTGTATATTATCTAAATTATGTAACACCTTCTGTGATCATCTGAAACACCAAATGAGGATTCAGACACTGTATGTAGGATCTTAATACATTGGCTATAAACAAGAAAGAGTAAAATAATTTCAAGATAGATTAATTACATCCCAGACTTGAGTGTATAAACAGAACTGCCTTTCTTGTCACTTTGCGGAATTCTTTCATTCATCCATTTATTTATTTATTTACTTAAGAACATGTATTGAATGTGTACTATGGCCCAGATACTGGGAATCTGCATATAAGATACGATAGTCTTGTAGGTGGATGATAGTGGGGAAAAAGTGTAGAGACTGTAGAAGATGTAGGGAATGGTATATTTAGAGGGTCAAAAGAAAAAAAGTAAGGCATGTTCAGGAGCAAGAACCTCAGTAAGATTAGAACATGGGAGGAGAAGGGTAATTGAAGAACAGTGAAATATAAGGCTGGAGAATTAAGCCTCATATAGTAAAGGTACAAAGTGTGGCACATGTATCCCATGTTGCAAATAGTTCTTACAAACTATAATTCATGAAATTTAAACTTCTCTTCAAGGGTCCATAATTTTAACTCACTTGTAAGGGTGTATTTTTAAATAATAAAACTATCATAATTGAAAAGCTGTATTTGACTGAACTACATAAAATGTTCAAATAAACCATAGTTATTTATAAGGGGGGTGAAAATGTATGAGTTAGGTGTTTGTATACTAGACACCAAATAATTGAGTTTATCCTACAAACTTATAATAGACTAAGTCCTACGAGAACCCAATATTTTCTTCAAATATTCATCACAGTGTCTAATTTTCTAGTTTATACATTGACTAGCTGTTTTCTTTTTCTATTTCCACAACCAGACTTTGAACTCTGAGGACAGAGACCTCATCTCTTGTTTACTAGTGACACTTTCAGGATATAGCTCAATACTGCCACATTGCAAGTGTTTAGCAAAATTGTTCAGTGAAATGTGAATTGTGAGTGAAATATGTCACAAAGTTGACAAAAACTGGGAAAATATTCTCAGATAATGTGATCTAACATATTAGAAAATTTATAGAAGTATTTTGTGCTAAGTATATAGTTAATGTAGCTCAAATATAAAATAAATAGGAGCCATGAATAAGAGAGAACTTTGACTCAAAAATGTAGCTGTGTAATTTTTTTTTTTAGGAAAGAAAGTCTGATTATGAGGAAGCTAATTCACATTTGTATTTTTTTCAACAATATAATTTATAACTGATTTTATGAGCACTTATTGTATGTTCTCAAAAGAATCAGAAAGTATACAAAGGACAAAGAAAAGAAGACCAATTTAATATATGAAGAAGCAAAATAAACAGCATACGGAAATATCAACATCCTTTTAACAATCAATCACTAATATTACATCAGCAAGCATGAGGTCATCTTCAACGGGCAGCTGAAGGGAAATAGATAACTTAAGTTAGGAAAGTAGTGTTACTAAATTCAACACACCTATCAATATTTGCTTGACTGTTTCATGAAACTGAAAGATAGCTACATAAAATAAATACATAAGAAAAACCTACAGCAGGCAAATTAAAATACTAGTCTTTCAAAATGGCTTTGGTCTGAATCTTCAATAAGATTTAACAAACTGAATTTTTGATAAGCTATCATATTTTACTTTTCAAAGTAAAAATTTGTCTTCAAATGGAAGAAACATTCTTAGCTTAGTCTCCTTAGAAGTGGCTCTTTTTAAAGGGAGAGGCGTTATTTTCATTCTGCACACTATAAAAGGCATATGAACAGAAATTGTTTCAGGTACAAATTATATATAAATGTAATCTCTTTTTGCCTCAGATGTGCATACATTCACTTTGCCCCTACATGTCTATGAGAAAAAGAGATGTGCTATAATTTTCCAACCATTTAAATACTAGCTGTAATAATATTTGCAGTAATAGAGCTTGTTCTTTGACCATTATGTAATCATAGGTTTCTAAAAATAGAGAATTTTAGAACAACTATGTAAATAAGTAATTAATTATATCAAGAATCTGATAAAGAGGGATTTGGATTTCAAGCTACAGATGAGACTTCGGCAAGTTTAAACAGAAATCATTGAGTACAGATGATTTGAAAATCTTAAATGTTTTATTGAAGAACGGTGCCTTCCGTTGAATGATTTATCATATCTGAAAATGTGGGAAGGGTGGATGAAAAAATGCATTGGAATAAAGAGTGCTCCTGCAAATCTCCAGCTCGACATATAAGTAATTAATTGTGAATTTAACTTTTCCTGATGCTTTAGATTTGCATCCAAGTATCACCACAGGCATTCTAAAGAGAGCATTCAGGAGGGTTTTTTAGTTTGTTTGTTTATTTAGTTAGTTTTTTTAACTTTATTTTTCCTTTTTTATGTATACTTTTTCCATTATATTTTAAGTTATAGGGTACATGTGCACAACGTGCAGGTTTATTACTTATGAATACATGTGCCATGTTGGTTTGCTCCACCCATTAACTCGTCATTTACATTAGGTATATCTCCTAATGCTATCCCGCCCCCCTCCCCCACCCCACAACAGGCCCTGGTTTGTGATGTTCCCCTTCCTGTGTCCATGTGTTCTCATTGTTCAATTCCCACCTATGAGTGAGAACATGCAGTGTTTGGTTTTTTTGTCCTTGCAAGAGTTTGCTGAGAATGATGGTTTCCAGCTTCATCCATGTCCCTACAAAAGACATGAACTCATCATTTTTTATGGCTGCATAGTATTCCATGGTGTATATGTGCCACATTTTCTTAATCCAGTCTATCATTGTTGCACATTTGGGTTGGTTCCAAGTCTTTGCTATTGTGAGTAGTGCTGCAATAAACATATGTGTGCATGTGTCTTTATAGCAGCATGATTTATATTCCTTTGGGTATATACCCAGTAATGGGATGGCTGGGTCAAATGGTATTTCTAGTTCTAGATCCCTGAGGAATCGCCACACTGCTTCCACAATGGTTGAACTAGTTTACAGTCCCACCAACGTGTAAAAGTGTTCCTATTTCTCCACATCCTCTCCAGCACCTGTTGTTTCCTGACTTTTTAATGATCGCCATTCTAACTGGTGTGAGATGATATCTCACTGTGGTTTTGATTTGCTTTTCTCTGATGGCCAGTGATGATGAGCATTTTTTCATGTGTCTGTTGGCTGCATGAATGTCTTCTTTTGAGGAGTGTCTGTTCATATCCTTTGCCCACTTTTTGATAGGGCTGTTTTTTTCTTGTAAATTTGTTTGAGTACTTAAAAAATTCCAGGACCAGATGGATTCACAGCCGAATTCTACCAGAGGTACAAGGAGGAGCTGTTACCATTCCTTCTCAAACTATTCCAATCAATAGAAAAAGAGGGAATCCTCCCTAACTCATTTTATGAGGCCAGCATCATCCTGATACCAAAGCCTGGGAGAGACACACAAAAAAAAGAGAATTTTAGACCAATATCCCTGATGAACATCGATGTAAAAATCCTCAATAAAATACTGGCAAACCAAATCCAGCAACACATCAAAAAGCTCATCCACCATGATCAAGTGGGCTTCATCCCTGGGATGCAAGGCTGGTTCAACATATGCAAATCAATAAACGTAATCCAGCATATAAACAGAACCAAAGACAAAAACCATATCATTATCTCAATAGATGCAGAAAAGGCCTTTGACAAAATTCAACAACGCTTCATGCTAAAAACTCTCAATAAATTAGGTATTGATGGGACGTATCTAAAAACACTAAGAGTATTTATGACAAACCCACAGCCAATATCATACTGAATGAGCAAAAACTGGAAGCATTCCCTTTGAAAACTGGCACAAGACAGGGATGCCCTCTCTCACCACTCCTATTCAACATAGTGTTGGAAGTTCTGGCCAGGACAATCAGGCAGGAGAAGGAAATAAAGGGTATTCAATTAGGAAAAGAGGAAATCAAATTGTCCCTGTTTGCAGATGATATGATTGTATATCTAGAAAACCCCATCGTCTCAGCCCAAAATCTCCTTAAGCTGATAAGCAACTTCAGGAAAGTCTCAGGATACAAAAGCAATGTGCAAAAATCACAAGCATTCTTATACACCAATAACAGACAAACAGAGAGCCAAATCATGAGTGAACTCCCATTCACAATTGCTTCAAAGAGAATAAAATACCCAGGAATCCAACTTACAAGGGATGTGAAGGACCTCTTCAAGGAGAACTACAAACCACTGCTCAACGAAATAAAAGAGGATACAAACAAATGGAAGAACATTCCATTCTCACGGATAGTAAGAATTAATATCATGAAAATGGCCATACTGCCCAAGGTAATTTATAGATTCAATGCCATCCCCATCAAGGTGCCAATGACTTTCTTCACAGAATTGGAAAAAACTACTTTAAACTTCATATGGAACCAAAAAAGAGCCTGCATAGCCAAGTCAATCATAAGCCGAAAGAACAAAGCTGGAGGCATCACGCTACCTGACTTCAAACTATACTACAAGGCTACAATAACCAAAACAGCATGGTACTGGTACCAAAACAGAGATATACACCAATGGAACAGAACAGAGCCCTCAGAAACAATACCACACATCTACAACCATCTGATCTTTGACAAACCTGACAAAAACAAGAAATGGGGAAAGGATTCCCTATTTAATAAATGATGCTGGGAAAACTGGCTAGCCATATGCAGAAAGCTGAAACTGGATCCCTTCCTTACACCTTATACAAAAATTAATTCAAGATGGATTAAAGACTTAAATGTTAGGCCTGAAACCTTAAAAACCCTAGAAGAAAACCTAGGCAATACCATTCAGGACATAGGCATGGGTAAGGATTTCATGGCTAAAACACCAAAAGCAATGGCATCAAAAGCCAAAATTGACAAATGGGATCTAATTAAACTAAAGAGATTCTGCACAGCAAAAGAAACTACCATCAGAGTGAACAAGCAACCTACAGAATGGGAGGAAATTTTTGCAATCTACTCATCTGACAAAGGTTTAATTAGTTCTTTTGAGACAGAGCCTCGCACTGTCAGGGCTGGAGTGCAGTGGCCCGATCTCGGCTCACTGCAACCTCTGCCTCCCGGATTCAAGCAATTCTCCTGCCTCAGCCTCCCAAGTAGCTGGGATTACAGGTACCTGCCACCATGCCCAGCTATTTTTTTGTATTTTTAGTAGAGATGGGGTTTCACTATGTTGGTCAGGCTGGTCTCAAACTCCTGACCTCATGATCCACCTGCCTCACCTCCCAAAGTGCTGAGATTACAATCGTGAGCCACTGAGCTCGGCCTCAGGAGGGTTTTTTAAAAGAAGTAAATACCGTCAGTCTCACCAGCACCCCCCGAGACCTCATGAAAGAAGAAAGGAAACACAGGGGCCCATGGAAAGAGTTGTAGAAAATGCAGACCTTCTGTTAAAATGTTACACATTACCTTTTAAAGGGAGAATAAGAGTTGCTCCTCCCATCCAAATAATGAGGCTCCAAGAAAACTACTTATAAAAAATGGAGCCTGAAAGAAGATGAGATAACACCACATTGTCTAGGTGGACATTTACTTGTGGCCCTCATGAACATTTGTGCAGGAGGAAAAGAGAAGTGGAGAGGCAATGCAAAGTGAAGAGACAATGTAGGACACAGAACATTCAAACTGCTTGGAATTATAAGGATGTAGGAGTGTCATATGAGCCAGATAAGCCCAGATAAGAAGGTAACTGGCTTGAGCTGCCACTTCAGAAGCAGATTCTAGCAGAAGGGAAATGACTGATACACTGCTTGGGGAGAAAGCTGAAGGAAGGTGTGAAGAGAATGGCTTCCACAGTATAAAACCATTTAGTCGGAAAACCTCTCAAAATTCCCAATGGCTTCACACATGTTCGACATGAGAGAGTTGCCATTCAGATGCCTTTCTTGCCCGTGTCATTGACAGCCAAGAGGATTACAATTAAATGAAAAGATTTCTGCCCCTTTTCCCCATCTCTGATCCTAGATCCAATTCACTAAAGGAGAAAGAAGAAGCAGAAGAGGAAAAAGGCAGAAGAGTAAAAGATTTGATTATGCCTTTTCCACACTAAGACCCTCAGGCTGAGTTTAAATGATCATTATGCAGAGAGAAAGATCTGAACTTAAAATGGTCAACTTATTTAAATTGTACTGGACTGAACTCTGGACTTTTTTATACTCAAAAGCAGCCAGAAAGTTCGGGGATGCCTGAGATGTAATTAAAACAGGAAAAGAGTTTCTGCAGAGCATGTTTGAGCATGTATGTATTTTTATTTAAGTTAGAAGTTAGATTTTTTTAAACGGATGTTAGTATCATTTGAGAATATTTAATAAATTACTTACATATCCAAATTTCCAGTACTAGCCATAATAATTTAATGCAATTAACACTTCTTTGATGGTAGCATCTAAATATGTTTTGGTAAAGAAGGAGAGGAATTTACACTATTAAAATCTCAAAAAGTTAGTGATATTTCCTTACATTCATCTTGGCTTCATCCTTCATTAATTTGACTAAAATCTTCTTGAACTAATTCATGTTTAAGCCTTTATCTTCTCTTAGTATTTATGTAAATACTCTCATTGTCTCATGTTTATTCCTTCAAATTTGAAAGAGTTATTCCAGACAAATAAGTCAATGTTGGCCAGGCACGGTGGCTCATGTTTGTAATCCCAGCACTTTGGGAGGCTGAGGCAGGTGGATGAGGCCAGGAGTTCAAGACCAGCATGGCCAACATAGAGAAACCCTATCTCTACTAGAAATACAAAAAATTAGCCGGGTGTGGTGGTGGACACCTGTAATCCTAGGTATTTGGGAGGCTGAGGCAGGAAAATCACTTGAACCCAGGAGGCAGAGGCTGCAGTGAGTCAAGATTACACCACTGCACTCCAGCCTGAACAACAGAGCAAGACCATGTCTCAAAAAATAATAAAGTCAATGCTAACATTATCCATAGTCTTCATAATTTCTTACTTCTAGGTGATTAAAATTCCTAGATTTGATCTTTTCTAACTGAAAATCCTGTATTTTAAGCTGTTGTCACACATGTAAAAGATACCAGATTTCATATTGTATTTGAATTAAATCTGTCAAAGGCAACACAGAGTTAGTTAAATTTTTTTAATCTGAGAACCCACACATGGTGTTGAATTGATTACATGATGGTAGAATCCATTTATAGAGCAGTGGGTTAGTTTTCCCAAGGCTGTTAATTTATTTACAGATTAAGTAGATAAATTCAATTTTCTACAAAAAAAAAAAGCATTTTATCAGCTAAGTGAACAAATACAATATCCTGTAACAAACATTTTATAAGTTTTGTGGTCATCACAATCCTCATATGTAAATGTTGCATTCCTCAAGATTAACCAAAAAATGTTTAGTGAGATAATTGAATATCTTGGGCTGCCCTTTATGTTTTACTACAAACAAAGAGAGAAGCTCATGTGATTATGAAAAGAAATGGAAAAGTTTTAGATTTTTACTATGTAACCCCATTTCTATTTGGCTGTCTTTCCAACATGACTCTTAATTGTAAGACAGTTATAATCACAGAAATGTAAATATTTTCTTATTGTCTTTCCTGTACATTGCTTCGAAAGGCAATTTCACATATCACTAAAGTATTTATGTCATGAGAAGAAAATAGGTCAAAATTGTTTTCTTCTCAAGCCCTCTTACCCAATTTTAATGTAACATTTTTATAACCAATGTCAATCAAATTAAAGCCTGCAGTTTCAGATGTCTACTAATTAAAGCTGTATGTGCTTTCTCTAAATTGTCTCCTGCCATGTTATGATAGTCTTCAGGTTGAGAACAAAAATTCCAAATGTAGCTATTTCAACAGTTGAAAGTAATGTAGCATAGGGCTTTTCTGTTTTGTTTCCAATATCTTTCTTAGAGCAAATATTTTTTGATCCTAATTGGTGTCAATCTGACAATATATCATCAGTGGTTATGTTTTTAGGATTTTAGACTCTTTCCTGTGTTACAACTAAAGTCCCAGAGTGGCAAGTCCAATATTTTTACAAATATGTGCTCTTTATTATGTGCAAAGAAGAATGCTTGGAATTCAAAGATGAACAAACTAAGTCCTTGACATTGAGAAATTCAGAGCTGAATGTATACATAATATTTTATTAATGTTTTATAAATGTTCTGGATAATTTATAAATAAAGTAGCTTTTAAAGATACATTAATAGGAGGTGCTGGCAAGATGGTCGAATAGGAACAGCTCTGGTCTGCATCTCCCAGTGAGATGGACGCAGAAGGTGGATAATTTCTGCATTTCCAGCTGAGGTACCCAGTTCATTGCATTGGGACTGGTTGAACAGTGGGACCTAAGGAGGGCGAGTCGAAGCAGGGTGGGGCTTCGCCTCACCTGGGAAGCGCAAGCGGTTAGAGAACTGCCTTGTCTAGCCAAGGGAAACCATTAGGGACCATACCATGCACTCCGGCCCAGATACTGCACTTTTCCCATGGTCTTCACAACCCGTAGAACAGGAGATTCCCTCAGGTGCCTACACCACCAGGGCCCTAGGTTTCCAGCACAAAACTGGACAACTGTTTGGGCAGACGATGAGCTAGCCGCAGAAGTTTTTTTTCATACCCTAGTGGCACCTGTAATGCCACCAAGACAGAACCGTTCACTCCCCTGGAAAGGGGGATGAAGCCTGGGAGTCAAGTAGTCAGGCTCGGCGGGTCCCACCCCCACAGAGACAAACAAGCTAAGATCCACTGGCTTGAAATTCTCACTGCCAGCACAGCAGTCTGAGCTCAACCTGGGATGTTCCAGTTTGGTGGGGAGAGGGGCGTACACCATTGCTGAGGCTTGAGTAGGCTGCTCCCTCAGTGTAAATAAAGCCACCAGGAAGTTCGAACTGGGCAGAGCCCACTTCAGCTCTGCAAGGCCTCTGCAGCCAGACTGCCCCTCCACATTCCCTCCTATGTGGGCAGGACACCTCTGAAAAAAAGGCAGCAGCCCCAGTCAGGGACTTGTAGATAAAACCCCCATCTCCCTGGGACAGAGCACCTGGGGGAAGGGGTGGTTGTGGGTACAGCTTCAGCAGACTTAAACGTTCCTGCCTGACGACTCTGAAGAGAGCAGCGGATCTCCCAGCACAGCATTCGAGCTCTAATAAGGGTCAGACTGCCTCCTCAAGTAGGTCCCTGACCCCCATGTATTCTGATTGAGAGACACCTCCCAGAAGGCACCAACGAACACCTCATGCAGAAGAGCTCCGGCTGGCATCTGGTGGGTGCCCCACTGGGACAAAGCTTCCAGAAGAAGGAACAGGCAGCAATCTTTGCTGTTCTGCAGGCTCTGCCAGTGATATCCAGGCAAACAGGGTTTGGAGTAGACCTCAAGCAAACTCCAGCAGACCTGCAGCAGAAGGTCCTGACTATTAGAAGAAAAACTAAAAAACAGGAACAGTATCAACATCAACAAAAAGGATGTCCACTCAGAGACCCCACTGGAAGGTCACCAACTTCAAAGACCAAAGGTAGATAAATTCATGAAAATTGGGAGAAACCAGCGCAAAAAGGCTGAAAATTCCAAAAACCAGAACACCTCTTCTCCTCCAAAGGATCACAAATCCTCACCAGCAACACAACAAAACTGGATGGAGAATGAGTTTGACAAATTGACAGAAGTAGGATTCAGAAGGTGGGTAATAAACTCCTCAGAGCTAAAGGAGCATGTTCTAACCCAATGCAAGGAAGCTAAGAACCTTGAAAAAAGGTTAGACAAATCAGTAACCACAATAACCAATTTAGAGAAGGACATAAATGACCTGATGGAGCTGAAATACACAGCATGGGAACTTCATGAAGCATACACAAGTACAGATAGCTGAATCAATCAAGTGAGAAAAAGGATATCAGAGATTGGAGATCACTCAGTGAAATAAAGAGAGAAGACAAGATTAGAGAAAAAAGAGTGAAAAGAACGAACAAAGCCTCCAAGAAATATAGGACTATGTGAAAAGACCAAATCTATGTTTGATTTGTTTGAAAGTGACAGGGAGAATGGAACCACACTGGAAAACATTCTTTAGGATATTATCCAGGAGAACTTCCCCAACCTAGCAAGACAGGCAAACATTCAAATTCAGGAAATACAGAGAACACTGCAAAGATACTCCTCGAGAAGAGCATCCCCAAGACACATAATCATCAGATTCAACAAGGTTGAAATGAAGGAAAAAAATGTTAAGGGCAGCCAGAGAGAAAGGTCAGGTTACCCACAAAGGGAAGGCCATAAAACTAACAGTGGATCTCTCAGCAGAAACGCTACAAGCCAGAAGAGAGTGGGGTCCAACATTCAACATTCTTAAAGAATTTTCAACCCAGAATTTCGTATCCAGCCAAACTATGCTTCATAAGCAAAGGAGAAATAAAATCTTTTACAGACAAGAAAATTGCTGAGAGATTTTGTTACCACCAGATAACAAGAGATCCTGAAGGAAGCACTAAAAATGGAAAGGAACAACCGGTACCAGCCACAGCAAAAATATAACAAATTGTAAAGACCACTGATGCTATGAGGAAAAGGCATCAACTAATGGGCAAAATAACCAGCTAGCATCATAATGGCAGGATCAAACCTTTCACACATAACAATACTAACCTTAAATGTAAATGGGCTAAATGCCCCAATTAAAAGACACAGACTGGCAAATTGGATAAAGAGTCAAGACCCGTTGGTGTGCTATATTCAGGAGACCCATCTCACATGCAAAGACACACATTGGCTCAAAATAAAGGGATGTAGGAACATTTAGCAAGCAAATGGAAAGGAAAAAAAAAGCAGGGGTTGCAATCCCAGTCTATGATAAAACAGACTTTAAACCAACAAAGATCAAAAGAGGCAAAGAAGGGCATTACATAATGGTAAAGGGATCAATGCAATATGAAGAACTAACTATCCTAAATATATATGAACTCAACATAGGAGCACCGAGATTCATAAAGCAAGTTCTTAGAGACCTACAAAGAGACTGAGACTCCCAATCAATAATAGTGGGAGATTTTAACACCCCACTGTCAATATCAGATAGATCAATGAGACAAAAAATTACCAAGGATATCCAGCTCTGGACCAAGCAGACCTAATAGACATCTACAGAACTCTCCACCCCAAATCAACAGAATATACATTCTTCTCAGCACCACATCGCACTTACTCTAAAACTGACCACATATATGGAAGCAAAATACTCCTCAGCAAATGCTAAACAACAGAAATCATAACAAACAGTCTCTCAGACAACAGTGCAATCAAACTAGAGCTCAGGATTAAGAAACTCACTCAAAACAACACAACTACATGGAAAGTGAACAACTTACTCCTGAATGACTAAAGAGTAAATAAAAAAATGAAGGCAGAAATAAAATATTCTTTGAAACCAATGAGAACAAAGATACAACATACCAGAATCTCTGGGACACATTTAAAGCAGTGTGTAGAGGGAAATTTATAGCACTAAATGCCCACAAGAGAAGGCAGGAAAAATCTATACTCGACACCCTAACATCACAATTAAAAAACTAGAGAAGCAAGAGCAAACAAATTCGAAAGCTAGCAGAAGACAAGAAATAACTAATTTCAGAGCAGAACTAAAGGAGATGGAGAAATGAAAACCCCTTCAAAAAATTAATGAATCCAGGAGCTGGTTTTTTGAAAAGATCAACAAGATAGATACACCGCTAGCCAGACTAATAAAGAAGAAAACAGAGAAGAATTCAATAGATGCAATAAAAATGATAAAAAGGATATCACCACGGATACTACAGGAACACAAACTACCATCAGAGAATACTATAAAAACTTCTAGGGAAATAAACTAGAAAATCTAGAAGAAATGGATAAATCCCTGGACACATACATCCTCCCAAGATTAAACCAGGAAGAAGTTGAATCCCTGAATAGACCAATGACAAGTTTGAAATTGGGGCAGCAATTAATAGCCTATCAACCAAAAAGAGTCCAGGACTAGACGGATTCACAGCTGAATTTTACCAGAGGTACAAAGAGGAGCTAGTACCATTCCTTCTGAAAATATTCCAATCAATAGAAAAAGAGGGAATCCTCCCTAATTTTATGAGGCCAGACTTACCCTGATACCTAAATCAGGCAGAGACACAACAAAAAAAGAAAATTTCAGGCCAATATCCATGATGAACATCAATGCGAAAATCCTCAATAAAATACTGGCAAACCGAATCCAGCAACACATCAAAAAGATTATCTACCATAATCAAATTTGATTCATCCCTGGGATGCAAGGCTGGTTCAACATATACAAATCAATAAACATAATCCATCACAAACAGAACCAATGACAAAAACCACATGATTATCTCGATAGATGGCAGAAAAGGCCTTCAAAAAAATTCAACAGCGCTTCATGCTAAAAAACTCTCAATAAGCTAGGTATTGATGGAACATATCTAAAAATAGTAAGAGCTATTTATGACAAACCCACAGCCAATATCATACTGAATGGGCAAAAACTGGAAGCATTCCCATGAAAACCGGCACAAGAGAAGGATGCCGTCTCTCACCATTCATTTTCAACATAGTATTGGATGTTCTGTCCAGGGCAATCAGGAAAGAGAAAGAAATAAAGAATATTCAAATAGGAAGAGAGGAAGCCAAATCATCTCTGTTTGCAGATGACATGATTGTATATTTAGAAAATCCCATCATCTCAGCCCAAAATTTTCTTAAGCTGATAAGCAACTTCAGCAAAGTCTCAGGATACAAAAATCAATGTGCAAAAATCACAAGCATTCCTATATACCAATAACAGACAAACAGAGAGCCAAATCATGAGTGAACTCCCATTCACAATTACGAAAAAGAGAAAAAAAATACCTAGGAATACAACTTACAAAGGATGTCAAGGAACTCTTCAAGGAGGACTACAAACCTCTGCTCAATTTGTTTTTCTACAAATAGAAAAACTTTCCATGCTCATGGATAGGAAGAATCAATATCATCAAAATGGCCATATTTCCCAAAGTAATTTATAGATTCAATGTTATCCCCATCAAGCTACCAATAACTTTCTCCACAGAATTGGAAAAAAACTACTTAGAATTTCATATGAAACCAAGAAAGAGCCTGCATAGTCAAGACAATCCTAAGCAAAAAGAATAAACCTGGAGGCATCACACTACCTGAGTGCAAACTATACTACAAGGCTACTGAAACCAAAAGAGCATGATACTGGTACAAAAACAGATATATAGACCAATAGAACAGATCAGAGGCCCCAGAAATAACACCAGACATCTACAACCATTTGATCTTTGACAAACCTGACAAAAACAAGCAATGGGGAAAGATTCCCTATTTAATAAATGGTGTTGGGAAAACTGGCTAGCCATATGCAGAAAGATAAAATTGGATCCCTTCCTCACACCTTAAACAAAAATTAACTCAAGATGGATTAAAGACTTAAATATAAGACCTAAAACCATGAAAACCCTAGAAGAAAACCTACACAATACCATTCAGGACATAAGCATGGGCAAATATTTCATGACTAAAACACCAAAAGCAATGACAACAGAAGCCAAAATTGCCAAATGGGATCTAATTAAACCAAGGGGCTTCTGCACAGCAAAATAAGCTATCATCAGAGTGAAAGGGCAACCTACAGATATGGGAGGAAATTTTTGCAATCTATCCATCTGACAAAGGGCTAATATCCAGAATCTACAAAGAACTTAAACAAATTTACAAGAAAAAAAAACCTCATCAAAAAGTGGGCAAAGGATATGAACAGACACTTCTCAAAGGAAGACATTTATGCAGTCAAGAAACATGAAGAAAATCTCATCATCACTGGTCATTACAGAAATGCAAATCAAAACCACAATGAGATACCATCTCACTCCAGTTAGAATGGCGATCATGAAAAAGTCAGGAAACAACAGATGCTGGAGAGGATGTGGAGAAATAGGAACGCTTTTACAGGGTTGGTGGGAGTATAAATTATTTCAACCATTGTGTAAGACAGTGTGATGATTCCTCAAGGATCTAGAACTAGAAATACCATTTGACCCAGCCATCCCATTACTGGGTACATACCCAAAGGATTATAAATCATTCTACTATAAAGACACATGTACACATATGTTTATCGTGGCACTGTTCACAATAGCAAAGACTTGGAATCAACCCAAATGCCCATCAATGATAGACTGGATAAAGAAAATTTGGCACATATTCACCATGGAATACTATGCAGCCATAAAAAGGATGAGTTCATGTCCTTTGCAGGATATGGATGAAGCTGGAAACCATTATTGTCAGCAAACTACCAAGAGAACAGAAAACCAAACACCAAACACCACATGTTCTCACTCATAAGTGGGAGTTGAACAATGAGAACACATGGACACAGGCAGGGGAACTTCACACACTGGGGTCTGTTGTGGGGTGAGGTGCTAGGGGAGGGGTAGCATTAGAAGAAATACCCAAGGTAGATGACAGGTTGATGGGTGCAGCTAACCACCATGGCACGTGTATACCTATGTAACAAACCTGCACATTATGCACATGTACTCCAGAACTTAAAGTACAATAATAAAAATCTACATTAATAATTATGTTATTAAATTTGGTACACTTTTAAAGAATGATCACAAAACATAGGTCAAAATATTCTGATTATATATTTTCAATGATTAAGAAGGCTTGATAAGGAATTGGTAATTATTATGGCAGTTATTTAATAAACTTTAATTCTTTCAGTTTCAAAGTAGTAGCATCCAGTGAAAGCAATGATTCCCACCCACCCACCCCCCTGCCACCCAGTTTAAAAAAGAGACTCTTATTTGTTTAAATTATTGATATGGAAATAAATTAATATATTTCTTAAATCTAAATGTATATTTGCAGGCTGCATTTTTCTGGCTTTCTTTTTAAAATAAAAGATCAAATATGATTTTTTTTTCATCTCACAAAACAAAGAAAAGATCAACACAGACATAATGGGTACTCATTTCTTTATGTGTAAGAGTGCTGGTACTAGACTTTCCAGATGACTAGGTGAGATAAAAAGAAAGCATTTATTATGGAAAAAACTCTGAAAAGAGTTCTAGAAATTCTAGATACACATGGACAGAATGGTCAGGTATTCTACAGTAGTTTCACCTCTAAATTGATGAAATGAAATCAGTGGCTTTCAAATTGTATTCCAGAGAAGCTGCCAGGATTTCATAAATGTTTATACAAATTTAAATATTTTTTATTTTTAGTTACGATAAAATACACAGAACATAAAATTTACCAACAACCATTTTAAGTGTACAGTTCAGTAGTGTTAAACATATTCATGTTGCTGTGCACCAATCTCCAAAACTTTTTCATCTTGCAAAAGTGAAACTATAACCATTAAACAACAACACCCTATTTCCCTTCATCCTCAGCCTCTGGCAAATATTCTAATTTGCTTCAATTTGTATTGACTACTCTAGTACCTCACATAAGTGGAATCATAAAATATTTGTCTTTTTATGATTAGTTTATTTCATTTAGCATAATGTCCTTAAGATTAATCCATGTTGTAAGCATGGGTCAGAATTTCCTTCCCTTTTAAGGCTGAATAATAGTCCATTGTATGTATATACCACATTTTGTTTATTCATCCACTGTTAGAAATTGGAGTTGGTCCCACTTTTTGGCTATTGTGAATAATACTGCCATAAACATGGGTATACAAATATATCTTTAAATGTTTAAATGTATTTTAAAATACTTAAATAAGAAATGAATAAGCAAACATGAAAATGTCACAAGCCAAAGTTTCACTTGTTGATCTCCAGTGTATTAATGTGTTTTTGTATAAACTTTGAAAATGAAGATTAACCTGCTCTCATATTTAATATATCTGAACTTAGTGTAAATATATCATTAGCTATATATAATGCTTGTACTGTGACACTGGCCTTTTATTTAAATTCAGGCCTGTATGTCTGTTCACATGTAGGTTATTCTACTAAAGCACTCAGCAACATACTCAAACCATCGGGCTTGAGTTTTCCTGCTTTGTTTGTTTTCTTTATGGTGTAGTACGAGGTGTCTTCAAAATGTTCATGGAAAACACACTATGAAGAAACTATGCATGAGTCTGAGCAGGGTGGCTCACACTTGTAATCCCCGCACTTTAGGAGGCTGAGGTTGGCGGATCACTTGAAGTCAGGAGTTTGAGACCAGCCTGGCCAACATGGTGAAACCCCATCTCTACTAAAAATATGAAAATTAGCTGGGCGTGATAGCAGGTACCTGCAATCCCAGTTACTCAAGAGGCTGAGGCAGGAGAATCACTTGAGCCGGGGAGGCAGAGGTTGCAGTGAGCTGAGATCAGCCACTGCACTCCAGCCTAGATAACAGAACAAGACAAGGATGGAAGGAAGGAAGGAAGGAAGGAAGGAAGGAAGGAAGGAAGGAAGGAAGGAGGGAGGGAGGGAGGGAGGGAGGGAGGGAGGGAGGGAGGGAGGGAGGAAGAAAGAATTTCAAAACTTTTTGCACCGAAATCAGCTTATACTAACTTGTTATAACATGGCTGAACAAGATCTTGTTTACGGCACTAAGAAAGTTAAGACATCAGTTTGAAAGAGCCCCTGTGAATTCTGCTAAAACAAACAACAAATTTATGGTAACGCTTGCATGGAAAAATGGTGAAATCATTAATGCTTTTTTCACAAAAAGCTTATAGGGAAAATGCACCCAAAGAAATCAGCAGTTTACAAGTGGATAACTTGTAAGAAGGGACAAAATGATGTTGAAGATAAAGCCCAAAGTTGCAGACCATCCACATTTCAAGAAAAAAAAAGTTTGTCTTGTCTGTGCCCTATTTCAAGAGGACCAACCACTAACCGCAGAAACAATAGCCAACAGTATAGACATCTCAACTAGTTCCACTCACACAATTCTGACTGTAGGATTAAAGTTGAGCTAAGTTTCCACTTGATAAGTGCCAAAACCTTTGTACCCAGATCATTTGCAGATAAGAGCAGAGCTTTCAATGGAAATTTTATACAAGTGAGACCAAGATCCAGAAGCATTCTGTATAGTCTCTTCTCATGCTACTAATAAAGACATACCTGAGGCTGGGTAATTTATAAAGGAAAGAGGTTTAATTGATTCACTGAAGGCGAATGAGGAACAAACTCACATCTTACATGGCAGCTGGCAAGAAAGTATGTGCAGGGTTTATAAAACCACCAGATCTCATGAAACTCATTCACTATCACAAGAACAGCATGGGAAAGGCCCCCACCATGATTTTGTTATCTCCCACTGAGTACCTCCCATGACATGTGGGGATTATTGCAATTCAAGGTAAGATTTGGGTGGGGACACAGAGTCAAACCATATCACATTTCTTTGAAGAATCGTAACAGGAGATGAAACACGGCTTTACCAGTATGATCCGCAAGACAAAGCACAATCAAAGCAATGGGTACCAAGAGGTGGAAGTAGTCCAGTCAAAGCACAAGCAGGCTGGTCAAGAGCAAAAGTCATAGCAACAGTGTTTTTGGATGCTCAGGACATTTTGCTTACTGCTTTCCAGAGGTTCAAAGAATGATAACATCTGCTTATTGTAATAGTGTTTTGAGAAACTTAGATAAAGCTTATATAGCAGAAAAATATTTGGGAAAACTTCATCAGAGTGTCCTTTTCCACCACGACAATGCTCTTGCTCATTCTTTTCATGAAACAAGAGCAATTTTGTGAGATTTTTAATGAGAAATCATTAGAGATCCACTTTACAGTACTGATTTGGCTCATTCTGACTTCTTTTTGTTTCCTAATCTTAAAAAATCTAAAAAGAGCATCCATTTTTCTTTATTTAATAATGTAAAAAAGACTGCATTGACATAGTTATGTTCCAAGACTCTCGGTTTTCTAGGGATGGACTAAATAGCTGCCATCATTATTTACAAAAGTGTCTTGAGCCTGATGAAGCTCATGCTGAGAACATTTAAGATTTTTTTATCTTTTAATTTCATTTTCCAGAAGCTTTTGAGATCCCTCTATAATCTGTACAAGTAAATGCATAATACATCATATTGAATAATATCATACTATGGTTTTATGATTACTGTATAAGAATTGGTTGTTTGTTGATTCACTTTTGTATACCTGACAAGAATACCAGCAATTGTTACATAATGGAAGACTTCTGCAATCACTTACACAACATATCTTTTATTACCTACTAATATTCTAATATTCAAACTTTCTCAACCTAGTAAACACCTGTACACTCTTCACAACAGTACAAGTGTCACCTCTGTGAAGCTGCATATAATTCTCTTCTGCAGTCTCACAGATAGATCTGCTTTCTTTTTTGTTTCTCCACTGTAGTCGTTACTTTATTGCATGCTTCTGTCATTCCACCTTTTATTTTTTATTGCTTCTATGTTTAATTTTTCATCTTTATTGTAAATTTCTGTGTCTTAAATAAAGACACAGACTGAGTCTTTATTCATATTTGTATATGTATTCTATTGTAGAATAATCATTCAATAAAAAATTTTTGGAAGGGTGAGTCTTTATTAAGTTAAATCTAAACCTCAAATTGCAATACATTTAGCAGGTGCTTCTTGGTTTTTTTGTTTCTTTGTTTTGTTTTGAGATGGAGTCTTGCTCTGTCGCCCAGGCTGGAGTGCAGTGGCACGATCTCAGCTCACTACAACCTCTGCCTCCTGGGTTCAAGCCACTCTCCTGCGTCAACCTCCCGAGTAGCTGGGACCATAGGCGCCCACCACCACGCCCGGCTATTTTTTTATATTTTTAGTAGAGACAGGGTTTCACCGTGTTAGCCAGGATGGTCTCGATCTCCTGACCTCATGATCCACCCGCCTCGGCCTCCCAAACTGCGGGGATTACAGGCATGAGCCACCACGCCTGGCCTAGCAGGTGCTTCTTAATAGTCGTAATTATAACCCTGGATGAATAGACAAGCATTAAGAGTCCCTATCATTCTTGATAGCTTATTTGATGAGTGTCCCAGGATTTCATAATAATCTGTTTTTAAAAGTAGTTATTATTTTAAAAAATTAACTTGTATGATTCAGGATTTTCTCTGAACAGTACCAACAAAGCAAAATACAGAAATAAATTGGATACTAAGGCTAACGTAATTCCAACTGTCATCTCTAGCAACCAAATTTAGAATTTTAGACACTTGTGTTCATCAAAACAGACTCATTGTTTTATCATGTTCAAAATATTTAACTGTTATAAAAATAAATATATAGCATAAATTTATATTAATTGTCTTACCCTTTTGTCAGTATCATACATTCAGATTACACATACTAATGGGTTTGGTAAAAGGAGATTCCATTAAGAAAACAAAAATAAGGTTTTGAATAACTTGTAGCCAGATAATCTCTGAAAACTCCCAGTTCTCATAATTTATGAGTTAATAGTTCCTCTTCACTGTCAGCTAGTCTTCACATCCTCAGTCCTGCTTTAGACGGCCCATGGAATTATCCTGCTCGCAACCTATAGCACCAAACTAAGACAAGGAAAAACCCCATCTATCTGGTGAGCTTGAAGAGAATTCTTAAAGGTAGAGCTATAAATTCCACTTTCCTTCCCCTTAGATGACCGTAAGGTTTAACCTTTCACTAAACTACACACTAGCTGTTTTACCTGATTATACAGGTTTGCATCCTAAAACTCATATCAGTATAGAAGATGAATATTTCTGGGTGTTACATGGATCACACTTTGTAGTGTGAGGTAGTGATGACATTGTAGTGATGACAAAGTGTACTTGATAAATTCAATTCCACAAGTGTATATTAACACCCACTCAGTGCTAGGTCTTGTGCTACATGCTGGTGATAGTTCTTTCTTCTTCCCTTCATACAAAAACTCTTTGAAAGAAAAATCTACATACTTATCTTCTCTTCCTTCTCTTTCCATTCCTTTTCAACCTTCAATCACCTGACTTCTAACCTAACACTCCATATAAACCACTCTGGAAAAGATCCTTATTACTTCCTAATTGCCAAATTTAATGGACTACAGTCAATGTTTAACCTACTGTGCCTGTTTGCTGCATTTGACATTTTGACTGCTTGTTCCTACTTTGGTTTCTCTATGTCCATTCTATCCTTCTTCTCTTTCTGCTATTTTTATATATTTAATCTCAGAGGTCCTTTGTATCTTATTTATACCTCAAATGCTATATTTTTCAATGTCTTGTCCTTTCTTCTTTCATTTTTTCTTCTTTTTTTCTTTTCTCTTCTTATCCTCACTAGGTGATCTCATACATATCCAGGGCTTCAGTTACCACTCACATGCTGATAGATCCCAAGGCCACAGTTCTAATTTAGAGCTTTCCTTTGATAACAAATGCTGTCATATATCTCTTCTATAGAAGCCCAATGGGCACCTCAATCTAAACCTATATAAAACTGAGCTTGTTATTGTTTCTTCTGGATTCATCTAATTCTACTGAAGTCAGGCCCCTCATTATCTCTTGCCTAAAATACTGGAAAGTCTCCAAGCTGATCTTGTTGTGAAATTCCTACTCCTCAGTCTATCCATTACACCTCTAACAGAGTGAAATTTCAAAAAGGTAAATGCGATCTTGTCAGAGCCCTACATAAAACATATATCTGGCCGGGCGCGGTGGCTCACGCCTGTAATCCCAGCACTTTGGGAGGCCGAGGCGGGCGGATCACGAGGTCAGGAGATCGAGACCATCCCGGCTAAAACGGTGAAACCCCGTCTCTACTAAAAATACAAAAAATTAGCCGGGCGTAGTGGCGGGCGCCTGTAGTCCCAGCTACTTGGGAGGCTGAGGCAGGAGAATGGCGTGAACCCGGGAGGCGGAGCTTGCAGTGAGCCGAGATCCCGCCACTGCACTCCAGCCTGGGCGACAGAGCGAGACTCCGTCTCAAAAAAAATAAATAAATAAATAAATAAAAAAAAACATATATCTGACTGACTCCAAGTACCCAGACAATAAAGTTCAAATTCCTTGGTACGATATACAAAGATTCCTTTACAACATCCCTACATTTACAGTACTACTGTAATGTACTACCCCACATCAACTAATTTCAGTTTTCAAATAAAACATGCTATGTATAACCTTCTGTAATTCTCATATTAGTCCTTCTGTGTAGAAAATTCTACCTCACAGTTGACCTAATGAACTCTTGTACACGTTTCAAAGGAGTTCAAATCTCTCTCTAATAAAGCTTTCCATCACTCCTCCTTACATCCCCATAGATAGAAAGACACTCATTATATTTTGCTCCTTCACTATAGCCAATTAATATTTTCATCATGGAGTCTGATTTACTAACCTTTTTTTATGTGTCTGCTTTACCTTTACATACTTTAAGTTTCATAAAGACAGAGTCTTTGTCTTATTCATTATTTTATCCCCAGTTTTTCATATGTTAAGTATCCAACAAATGATTAGTAAAAGCATGATTGCATAAATAAATTAATGTGAAAACTTTTCTGCCCTCATCTGTCTCAAAGCCTAATGGGGAAACACATACACAAACATTAAAAATTATTCAGTATGTAGCTTCAGTGGTTGAATTGTGTGCATTCTGACTGTTATTTCCAGTTACGTCAAAGGAAGACATATATAATCACAGTAAACATAAAGTGTCTTGGTGTGTCTTTTGCAATTTGTGTGTGTGTGTGCAATTGTGTGTAGTTGGTTTTATACATCCCTCAAACACTAAAGCAAAATAAAAATACAGAGCCTGAGTATAATATAAAGTTAGTCAAACTATCCATATAGCAATTTATTTTTAGAGAATAAATTTCATGAGAAATATGTGAGAAGCTACCCCTATACAAGGAACCTGTGTTTTTATCATGTCCTAAATTCTGTGGTTAACAATGGCTGTAGATTAGAAAACATTTAAGGTTGTGGTTCTTTCAGCTGTTGGCAAATTGTAGAACACAAAAGTAAGAGAATACAAAAAAGAAATCCATTGGAAACTAAACCCAGTATTTGAAATTCTGAGTTGTTCCCTGGGCTTTAGTCATGTTTTTTCTCATTGGAGTAGGGTCAGTGTGACAGGGCTGAAGTAGATGGAAAAATGATGAATGTAATCAGGGGAAGAGGTTGAGGAAATTATTCTGGAACCCATGATTTAGGTTTCAAATAAAGATACTTTCCAAAGGAAATGAAACTGGTGAACTCAGTTTGCTCCCTAGCAACTACTGTAGTGGAGATGCAATATGAATGCATCGGCATGTTTCACATATTGGGAATCTCTGTGGAAATGTATAATGAGCTCCTGTTGGGTCGGTTTTCCATCCTATGCTTCAGTGCGAGGGCATGCAGTTGTCCAGATATCTGCAGCATTCTGAGCTGCTCAACAAATTTTAAACGTTTTGGTGAGAAAAATAGTTTGACGGTTTCCCTAAATACTCTCCAAGGTACCAGGCTGATAACAAAGTGGAGCCCCCAAACTTAAACTGAAGTCTGCATCATTTGAGTGTCCAGCATGGCAAGAAACTGGCTGACATTTACGTTGAAAATCACACAGGCCATGTGGCTATTGATAAGCTTATTTTCAGAAAGAAATACACAGTGACATTTAATCAAAATGTAATTCATTGGTATGAAATTTGATGAGCTAGCACAAAGTCAATTGCGTTTGATGGTTTATTTCCAATTAACTTAAGACACATTTTAACTTTCCCTGCTTCTTAACAGTTAATTTTTTAAAATCTATTCATAAAAATTAAATAAACACAATGTGCTGAATTTAAAAAACTATCTTTATCTGTTTCCATTTTCATCTCTTTCTTTTTCAATCTCTTTCATCCTTTTTTTCTTTTAAAGAAAGATAGGACGTGAAGAAGGACTGCCATCTACTGGTACACAAGAAACATTTCTGAAATACATGAACAGCACCAGGTACCCTGGTGGCTTTGTGGAAAACATTCTCTGACACAAAAGAAAAGGTTATTATGCTTTACACCCTTTAAATGAAACAATGGTTAATATATTCATTTACTCACTCACTTCAACAAAATTGAATTTATCACCTACCAGTATTGCCAAGCACTGAGCTAAATCCATAGAGAACACAGAAATGACTAAATCATGGTACTTGATAGAAAAATCATTTCATTTTCTTTCCTTCCTCTTTTCATGTACTGTCAATAGTATACAAATATGTTTTTGTAGCATGCACTTGAGTTAATGGATTGAGGCTCTGAGGATAATATCTGGAAAATATTAAATATTTACAGGCTATGCTGCTGGAAAAAAAATTCCCAGGAGGATGCCAGAAGCATACAAATCTCATAAATACCTCTATTCTCACTCATTCAATATTCAGTCTACTTATTTTAATATCTGTAATAATCCCTTTAAATATTACTATTCACAAAGGAATAAAGACAGAAAAGTAGCTCTCTTAAATGTTTTTCTTAATAGGAGATATAGAAAAGGAATATTGAAAGTGGTACAGAATACACACAGATATGGATTTCACAACATTAATACTGACAAATGCATTGAGAATATTCAGCACATACCTGAGGATGTTAGCAAGCCTGCCCTAATACCTACGCTACCTACTCTATCAAGCCAGAAACACTCAGGCATTGAAAAAAGCTTACAACACATATGACCATCAAAGACGAGTTTAAAAAAATGTATAAACATTGCTGATTTAAAGCATTTCCATTATAAACCTTACTTTTTCATGAAAACTTGGTTTTCCCAGGACACATCAACTTTGAAGATGATGCAAAGATATTTGTAGCAGAGACTCCAACCCGATTTTATTATCACAAATCCAAACCTTCTCAGCCTCCCTCTACCTGTGGATATAACACTCATAAACCCCCTTGCCAACTGAAAGAGCATATATCTTTCATTTACTTCTATAACCTAGTCATAGTATAATGCTTGGCCCGCTATAGGTCCCCAGTACTTTTATATTAAGAGACCAAATGAATATCATTGACTTTTTTGTCCTGTGGGAAATTAGAGAGGCTCCCACCAGTGATATATCAATGCCTTGCCCTATTGCTTCTAAAGTCTCAATATTGCTTTATTAAAGAAAAAAATCATGGTGAGGTAATTTTAGCCTTAAAGAAAAGTTACAAAGATAGTAAATTCTCATATGGTCTTTATCCAACGTCCCCTTAATGTTAATATCTCACATAACCAAAGTATAATTATTAAAAGTAAGAATATAAAAACCATACACTACCATTAACTAAACCAGGGGTCTCCAACCCCTGGGTCATGGACTGGTACCCATCCATGGCCTGTTAGGAACCGGGACGCACAGCAGGAGGTGAGCAGCAGTTGAGAAGGCAAAGCTTCATCTGTATTTACAGCTATTCCTCATCTCTGGCATTACCTCCTGAGCTCCACCTCCTGTTAGATCAATGGTGGCATTAGATTCACATAGGAGTTTGAACCCTATTGTGAAATGCACATGCAATGGATCTAGGTTGCACATTCCTGGGATTCTAATGCTTGATGATCTGTCACTGTCTCCCATCACCCCCAGATAAAACAATCTATTTGCAGGAAAACAAGCTTAGGGCTCCTACTGATTCCACATTATGGTGATATATGTAATTATTTCATTATATATTATGATGTAATAATAATATAAATAAAGTATGCAATAAATGTAATGCACTTGAATCATTCCAAAACAATTCCACCCTGGCCTGAGTCTGGAAAAATTGTCTTCCACGAAACCAGTCCCTGGTGCCAAAAAGGTTGGGGACCACTGAACTAAACTACAAAATTGTTTTAGTTTATCCACCTTTTCCACTAAAGTACATATTTATGTTCTAGGACACAGCCACACCTCGTTTTGTTGCACTTCACTTTATTGCGCTGCACAAATACCATGTATTTTACAAATTGAGGACTTGTGGCAACCCTGTATTGAGCAACTCTATCAGCTTCATTTTTCCAACAGCATGTGCTCAATTCATGTGTTTGTATCACATTTTGGTAATTTTTGAAATATTTCCAACTTTATCATTATTAGTATATCTGTTATGGTGACCTGTGATCAGTAATATTTGATATTACTATCGTAATTGTTTTGTGGCACCACGAACTATGTCCATAAAAGATAGTGAACTTAACAGGTAAATGTTATGTACATTCTGACTGGCTCCATCAACCAGCCGTTCCTTCATCTCTCTCTCCCTCTCTTCAGGCCTCCCTATTCCCTAAGATACAATATTAAAATTAGGCCAATGAATAACCCTACTATGGCCTCTAAGTGTTCAAGTTAGAGTCACATAACTATCATTTTAAATCAAAAGCTAGAAATGATTAAGCTTATGAGGAAGGCATGTTTGAGATAGGCCAAAAGATTGGCCTCTTGTGCCAAAGAGTTAGCCAAGTTGTGAAAGGAGAAGTTATTGAAAGAAATTAGTGAACACATGAGTGATAAGAAAGCAATACAGCCTTATTGCTGATATGGAGAAACTTTTAGTGGTCTAAATAGGAGATCAAACCAGCCACAACATTCCTTTAATTCAAAACCTAATCCAGAGCAAGACACAAACTCTCTTTAATTCCAAGAAGGCAGAGAGATGTGAGGAAGCTGCAGGAGAAAGGTTGGAAGCTAGCCGTTATGTGGTACATATACACCATGGAATACTATGCAGCCATAAAAAATGATGAGTTCGTGTCCTTTGTAGAGACATGGATGAAGCTGGAAACCATCATTCTCAGCAAACTATCACAAGGGCAAAAAACCAAACACCACATGTTCTCATTCATAGGTGGGAACTGAACAATGAGAATACATGGACACAGGAAGGGGAGCATCACACACCGGGGCCTGTTGTGGGGTGGGGGGAGGGGGGAGAGATAGCATTAGGAGATATACCTGATGTTAAATGACGAGTTACTGGGTTCAGCACACCAACATGGCACATGTATACATATGTAACTAACCGGCACATTGTGCACATGTACCCTAAAACTTAAAGTATAATAAAAAAAAAAGAAGAAGAAGAAAGGTTGGAGGCTAGCAAAGGTTGACTAATGAGACGTAAGGAAAGAAGCCATCACCATAACATAAAAATGCAAGGTGAAACAGCAAGTGCTGATGGAGAAGCTTCAGCAAGTTATCCAGAAGATCTACCTACAATTATTGATGAAGGTGGCTACAATAAACAAAAAATAATCAGTGTAGACCAAACAGCCTTATAACGGAAGAGGATGCCATCTAGGACTTTCATAGCTAGAGAGAAGTTAATGCCTAACTTCAAAGCTTCAAAAGACAGGCTGACTCTTTTGTTAGGGGCTAAAGCAGTTGGTGACTTTAAGTTGCCACTAATCCTCATTACCATTTCATTTTGAAAATCCTAGAGCCCTTAAATTTACTCTACCTGTGCTCTATAAATGAAACAACAAGCCTAGATGATAGCACATCTGCTTATAGCATGATTTACTAAATGTTTTCAGTCCATTGTTGAGACTTACTGCTTATAAAAAAGATTGCTTTCAAAACATTACTGCTCATTGACAGTGCACCTAGTCAAACAAGAGCTCTCACGGAGAGATGCAAGAAGATTAATGTTGTTTTTATACCTGCAAACTCAGTATCCACTCTGTAGCCCATGGATCAAAGAGAAATTTCAATTTTCAAGTCTCATTTGTTCAGCAGTACATTTCATAAGGCTATAGCTTCCATATAAATTGTGAATCTTCTGATGGATCTTGACAAAACAAGTTGAAAAACTTTGGGAAATAATTAACCATTCTAAGATGTCATTAAGAGCATTAGTGATTTATGAGAGAAGGTCAAAATGTCAACCATAACAGGAGTTTGAAGAAGTTGATGACTTTGAGTATTCAAGACATTATTAGAGGAAGTAACTGCAGATGTGGAAATAGCAAGTGAACTACAATTAGAAGTGGAGCCTGAAGATGTGACTGAATTGCTGCAATCTCATAATGAAACTTGAATGGATGAGAAGCTTCTTCCTCTGGATGGGAAAAAAAAGTGGTTTCTTGAGACAAAATCGACTCTTAGTGAAGATGCTGTGAACATTGTTGAAATGCCAACAAATGATCTAAAATATAACATAAACTTTTTTTTTTATGTTAATGACTGTACTTTGAGACATGATGGAAAAACATTACAGGTACACATGGAAAAGACATGATCACCAAATGAAAATCTAACCAGAAAGCTTTAATGTCTGTCAGCTAAGCTGAAGCTGAAATTCTGGGAGCACGACATGCTGCAGGGCCAAAAGGAATGGATTAGTATTCCTCTCTTTCTTCCTCACCCTCTCCTTCAACAGAATCCACACCAACCTCCTCATAATCCTTCTCAAGGGCAGCCATGTCTTCACGGGCCTCTGAAAACTCGCCTTCCTCCATCCCCTCACCCACGTACCAGTGAACAAAGGCACGCTTGGCATACATCAGGTCAAACTTGTGGTCCAGGCGAGCCCAGGCCTCAGCAATGGCTGTGGTGTTGCTCAGCATGCACTCTGTACCATGGCCAGGTCTCCACCAGGCACCACAGTGGGAGACTGGTAGTTGATGCCAACCTTGAAGCCAGTGGGGCACCAATCTACAAACTGGATGCTACGCTTGGTCTTGATGGTGGCAATGGCAGCATTGGCATCTTTGGGAACCACATCACCATGGCACAATAGGCAGCAAGCCATGTATTTACCATGGCGAGGGTCACATTTCACCATCTGGTTGGCTGGCTCAAAGGAAGCATTGGTGATCTCTGCTACAGAAAGCTGTTCATGGTAGGCTTTCTCAGCAGAAATGACAGGGGCATATGTCGCCAGAGGGAAGTGGATGTGGGAGTAGGGTACCAGGTTGGTCTGGAATTCTGTCAGGTCAACATTCAGGGCTCCATCAAATCTCAGGGAAGCAGTGATAGAGGACACAATCTGGCTAATAAGGTGGTTAAGGTTAGTGTAGGTTGGGCGCTCGATATTGAGGTTTCTACAACAGATGTCACAGATGGCCTCATTGTCTACCATGAAGGCACAATCAGAGTGCTCCAGGGTGGTGTGGGTGGTGAGGATGGAGTTGTAGGGCTCAACTACAGCTGTGGAAACCTGGGGCGCTGGGTAATTGGAGAACTCCAGCTTGGACTTCTTGCCATAATCAACTAAGAGACGTTCTATGAGCAGGGAGGTGAACCCAGAACCAGTTCCCCCACCAAAGCTGTGGAAAACCAAGAAGCCCTGAAAACCAGTGCACTGGTTAGCCAGCTTGCGAATTCGGTCCAACACAAGGTCAATGATCTCCTTGCCAATGGTGTAGTGCCCTCGGGCATAGTTATTGGCAGCATCTTCCTTGCCTGTGATGAGCTGCTCAGGGTGGAAGAGCTGGCGGTAGGTGCCAGTGCAAACTTCATCAATGACCATGGGTTCCAAGTCTACAAACACAGCCCGGGGCACATGCTTGCCAGCACCCGTCTCACTGAAGGTGTTGAAGGAGTCATCTCCTCCCCCAATGGTCTTGTCACTTGGCATCTGGCCATCGGGCTGGATGCCATGTTCCAGGCAGTAGAGCTCCCAGCAGACATTGCCAATCTGGACACCAGCCTGGCCAACGTGGATGGAGACGCATTCACGCATAGTGGCTAGGGATTAGGAGGCGAAGGTGACAGGAGCAGACACTGGGTCCCGGTTACCGTCCCCAACAAGCTAAGAGTTGAGGTAAGTAACACACTGGGAATGTTCCATAAACTTAGTTGATAAAGCAGCAGCAGAGTTTGAGAGGATTGACTCCAATTTTGAAAAAAAAAAAAAAAAAGGCCTACTTAGGTAAAATGCTATCGAACAGCATTACATGCAACAGAGAAATTTTTCATGAAAGGAAGAATCAGTCAATGAGGCAAACTTCACTGTTGTCTTGTTAAAAATTGCCACAGCCACTCCAACCTTCAGCAATCACCACCCTGATCAATCAGTAGCCATCAACATTGAGGCAAGCCTTTCCATCAGTAAAGGCTCAAATAATCATTAACATTTTTAGCAATACAGTATTTGTAAATATGATATATATGATTTTTTAAATATCATGCTATTGCACACTTAATAGGTTATGACTTTTACATGCACTGGGAAACCTAAAATATTATATGACTCACTTTATTGTGAAATTTGCTTTATTGCAGTGGTCTAGAACCAAACCCACAATATCTTCAAAGTATGCCTGTACCACAGTGAATTTAGTTGTTATATCTCTTTAATCCCCTCCCACCTGTGACAGCTCCTCAGTTTTTCCTTGTCTTTCATGACTTTGACACTTCTGAAGAACACAGATCATGAATTTTGTAAAATGGTCCCCACTGTAAGTTTGTCTGATGGCTTATTATGATTACACTGTGTTATAGAATTCTGGGAATAATACCACAAAGAATAAGTGGCCTTCTCATCATATCATATCAGGAGGTACATGATATCAACATATCCTAGTACTGATGAGGTTAACTTCAATCACTTGATTAAGATGCTATCTGCCAGGTTTATCCACTGTAAGCTCTACCTCCTGGGGAGAGAAATATCAAAGAATTTGTGCCTGTTTCTCCAGGCTCAGGTAGCTTTCTCACATATAAGCACTAACATGTATTCAGCTAAAGACTCAAGAAGAAAACCTTTCCTTATTTCTAGAGCTCTTTCTCATCACCTCACTTCTCTTTAGTGTGCTGCTCAATGAATTTCTTTCTGCATTCTCAACTTAGCTTCCTTGACTCAGGGAAACTGCCAGGCTCTGTTTGTATTTCTCCTCCCTCCACTGTATCCTAAATATTATCTTAAGATAGTAAGCTGTATCAATTCTAGAATTCACCATGTTTGTTTTCCCTCTCTCAGGAGTCAGTCATCCAATTTCTGTAAACCATTGTTTCATATGTATTTTTATTTGTTTACAATGGAGGGGTAAATACAGAAATAGGTGCCTGGTCCAATATTTTAAACACCATCTATGTGCTGATACCACCAAAAATTAAACTTGTAGCTCAGAACTTTTCCATGAACTACAAACACTTATCCAATTTCCTATTTTATATTTCCACTTAAATTCTCATTGGCATTCTAAACTCAACTTATCTAAAGCAGAACTCTTGATTCATTACACCCCCATTCATTTCTCTCTTGCTCCTCTTAATCCCAATACATATTACTACAAGTCACTCAGATACTCAATTAAAAATCTGGGAGTTATCTTTGACTCTTCTCTTCCCCTTACTGCCATATCCAATACATTAGCAATTCCTATTTTTCTATTTCCAATATTCATATCAAATCCAACCTCTTGTCTATAACCATTCTTAGTATCTCTCATCTGAGCCATTGCAGAAACTTGTAATCTACTTACTTGCATTCTTGCTTCTCCCTTTTCATTCATTATCCAGCAGCCATAATAATATTTTAAAAATATACATAAAGAGTAATATCAGCAAGATGACAAAGTAGAAAGCTCTAGACTATCTTTTCCCCTATGAACACAACAATTCAGCAACAATTCACAGACAGATACCCTTTGTGAGAAACTAATTGAAAGGCTCTTGTACCCTGGGCAAACACAAAACCAGACTCATGGAAGCTAGTAGGAAGATTCAGAACACCCTCCCACCAAAATTCTCACACCTGACATAGGGCCATAAGATTGATTGGAAAGAGACCACTGGCACCCTCCCCCAGATCCTAACTTCTCTCAGGTAAGGAAAAGAATTGGTTCACACATAAGTGCCCCAACTTTTCCATAGAAGCATCCCAGAGGACTGGGTTCTGTCTTGCCAATCTAGGAGCCCTGATGGGACGAGCATAATCTAGCCAAATGGGGGAGAACAAAAACAGCAGTGTGGGGCATAGTTGCCATAGCTTTGCCCCTCAGCTCAGAATGGCATGAGCAGAGGGAAAATTCCAGCTCCCAGCTACTCCCTGAGGAGGAAAAGAGTTGGTCCATGCATCCAGCATCCCAACTTTCCTTCAAAGACTTCACAGTGGACTGGTTTCTGTTTTGCCAGTCTCAGCGCACTGACCTGGCAAAATGTAGCTGTAGGGGGAAGAGTGAAAACAGAGATGGAGGTTTGGGTTGGCAGTCACTATTGCCTGTCTTCCAAAAACTTGAAGAGGGGGAAACACTTCTGAACTCATTTTATGAGGCCAGCATTACCCTGATATCAAAGCCAGACAAAAACACCTCAAAAAAAGAAAACTACAGGCAAATATCTCTAATCAATATAGAGAAGAAAATTGTTTTAAAATACTAACAAATTGAATTCAACAGCATATTAAAAGGTCATATACCATGACCATGAAGGATTTGTCCCTGAGATACATGGATGGTTCAACATATGAAAATCAAGTAATGTGATATTCTAAATTAACAGAAGAAAAAATGAAAATCATATGATAATTTCAACAGATGCAGAAAAAGCATTTTGCAAAATTTAGTACCTTTCCATGGTAAAAGCTCTCAACAAACTAGAAATAGAATAAAATTATTTCAACGTAATAATGACCATATATAAAGAATCCACAGCTATCATCACAGTTAACAGCAAAAAATCTGAAAATTGTTTTAAGCTCTACGATCAGGAACAAAGCAAGAATGCCCTCTCTTGTTACTTCTATTTAACATAGTACTAGATGTCTTAGGTAGACTTTCCTGCAATTGGGCAAGAAAAAGAGACAAAAGGCATCCAAATCAGAAAAGAAGAAGTAAAATGGTCCCCCTTTGCTAATGACATAATCTTACATCTAGAAAACCCTAAAGACTCGACCAAAAAACTGTGAGAACTAATAAACAAATTTAGTAAAGCTGAAGGATACAAAATCAACATATATTGTAGTCCCAGCTACTTAGGAGGCTGAGTGTGAAGGATGGCTTGATCCCAGGAGTTTAAGTCTAGCCTGGGAAATATATAGCGACCCCATCTCTATTAATTTTTTTAAAAAATAAATATATAAAAATTAATTATATATCTATAGAGTAAAAATAAATTATCTGAAAATTCAGAAAGCAATTCCATTTACAATAGCATCAAAAAGAATAAAATAGGAATAAACTTAACTAAGGTGATGAAAGACTTATACACTGAAAGCTACAAAACACTGATGAACAACATTAAAGAAGACACAAAGAAATGAAAAGATATTTTGTGTTCACAGATTGGAAGAATTAATTTTGTTAAAATGTTCATATAATCCAAAGTAATCTACAGATTCAATATAATTTTCATCAAAAATCCCAATAGTATTTTTACAGAAACGGAAAAAAAAACACTCTAAATTTCATAAGGAAACACAGAAGACCCCAAAATAGTCAAATCAATCTTGAGAAAGAAGAGCGAGGCTGGAGCATCACACTTCATGATCTCAAAATGTATTACAATGCTACAGTAAGTAAAACAGTATGGTGCTAGCATAAAGACAGTTATCTAAGGCAAATGGAAGAGAGTACAGAACTCAAAAATAAATCCATAAATACACAGTCTTCAACAATACTGCCAAGCATACACAATGGGGAAAAGGTAGTTTCTTCAACAAATAATATTGGGAAAACTGGATATTCACATATAAAAGAATGAAATTTGAACAATATCTTATGCCATACACAAAAGCAACTCACAATGGTTTAAAAAGCCACACATAAGATCTGAAACCATAAATTCTTAGATGATAATATAGGGGAAAGCCTTCATGAAATTAATCTTGGCAATGATTTCATGGACATGGCACCAAAATCACAGGCAAAAATAGACAAGTGGGACTACATTGAACTAACATCTTCTGCACATCAAAAGAAATATTTAACAGAATGAAAAGGCAATCTATGAAATAGGAGAAAATATTTGCAAACTATGTATCTGATGAATGGTTAATATCTGAAATGTGTAAGTAATTTCTACAACTCAATAGCAGAAAGACTAATAACTTGATTTTAAAACGGGCTTAAGACTTGAATAGAAATTTCTTCCAAAAAGACATACAAATGGCCAACAGCTATATGAAAAGATGCTCAATGTCATTAATCATCAGAGAAATGCAAATATAAACCACAATGAGGTATCATCTGATACCTGTCAGAATGTCTATTATCAATGTTGGTGAGGATGTAGAGAAATAACAACCCTTGTAAACTGTTGATGGAAACACAAACTTATGCAGCCATTATGGAAAACATTATGGAGTTTTCTCAAAAATTAAAAATAGAATCACCATATGATCTGCAATCCCACTTCAGGGTATTTATCCAAAAGAATTGAAATCAAGATCTCATAGATATATTTATACTCCCATGTTCACTGCAGCACTATTCACAATAGGCAAGATGTGGAAACAACCTAAGTGCCCCTTAACAGACGAAAAAAAAAAAGAAAATGTAGTATATACATGTAATGGATATTATTCAGCCTTTAAAAAGAAGGAAATTCTGCAATATGCAATAACATGGATAAACGTCAAGGACATTATGCTAAGTTAAATAAATCAGTCTCGGAAGAACAAATGCTGGATCATTCCATTTATATGAGTACCTAAAATCATCAAATTTGTCCAGTAAAAGAGTGGAATGGTGGTTTCCAGAGGCTGGGAGAAGGGGAAATGGGGAGTTACATCAACAAGCATAGAGTTTCATTTAGGAAATATTAATAAGTTTCAGAAATCGGCTGTACAACATCATGCCTATAGTTAACAATACTGTGTTATGCACTTAAAATTTGGTTAAGAGAATAATGTATCAGTTAGGGTTCTCGGAGAAACAGAACCCTTTCCTAAAGTGTTCTTCTCCTGGTTCGTGATATGGCTCACTTATTTTTCATCATTCAGGTTTCGGCTTAAATGTCACTTTCTTCAGAAATCATTCCTTGACCACCCTATTAATAGTTGTGCTCCTGCCTCTGTGACCCCCTTTTACATCATGGTATTTAATTCCTTTATACACTTTAAATGATTTTTCATTATCTTATTTACTCGCTTCATTATTTATTTATCATCTGTGTCATAGACAAAAACTCCTAGAGGAAAAGTCATCTTTTTTTGTCACTGTATCTGCAAGACATGATTGATGCCTGGTATTCATTAGATATTACATAAAAATTCTTGAATATATTAATGAAGATACAAATATATTTTTCATAGATAGGAAGTTAATGTTATGGTCCAGGCAAGATCTGACTTGGTAAGATCTTGTTAGGAATCTAGACAATAGGGCAGCTAACAAGAGCCTACAGGTCAAATCAAACCTGCTTTTGAAAGTAAAGTCTTCTTTTGAGAAGTGTCTGTTCATATCCTTCACCCACTGTTTGATGGTGTTGTTTGTTTTTTCTTGCAAATTTGTTTGAGTTCATTGTAGATTCTGGATATTAGCCCTTTGTCAGATGAGTAGGTTGCAAAAATTTTCTCCCATTCTATAGATTGCCTGTTCACTCTGATGGTAGTTTCTTTTACTGTGCAGAAGCTCTTTAGTTTAATTAGATCCCATTTGTCAATTTTGGCTTTTGTTGCCATTGCTTTTGGTGTTTTACACATGAAGTCCTTGCTCATGCCTATGTTCTGAATGGTATTGCCTAGGTTTTCTTCTAGGGTTTTTATGGTTTTAGGTCTAACATTTAAGTCTTTAATCCATCTTGAATTAATTTTTGTATAAGGTGTAAGGAAGGGATCCAGTTTCAGCCTTCTACATATGGCCAGCCAGTTTTCCCAGCACCATTTATTAAATAGGGAATCCTTTCCCCATTGCTTGTTTTTGTCAGGTTTGTCAAAGAACAGATAGTTGTAGATATGCTGTATTTATGCAGCCAAAAAACACATGAAAAAATGCTCATCATCACCGGCCGTCAGAGAAATGCAAATCAAAACCACAATGAGATACCATCTCACACCAGTTAGAATGGCGATCATTAAAAAGTCAGGAAACAACAGGTGCTGGAGAGGATGTGGACAAACAGAAAAACTTTTACACTGTTGGTGGGACTGTAAACTAGTTCAACCATTGTGGAAGTCAGTGTGGAGATTCCTCAGGGATCTAGAACTAGAAATACCATTTGACCCAGCCATCCCTTTACTGGGTATATACCCAAAGGATTATAAATCATGCTGCTATAAAGACACACGCACACATATGTTTATAGCGGCACTATTCACAATAGCAAAGACTTGGAACCAACCTAAATGTCCAACAACGAGAGACTGGATTAAGAAAATGTGGCACATATACACCATGGAATACTATGCAGCCATAAAAAATGATGAGTTCATGTCCTTTCTAGGGACATGGATGAAACTGGAAACTATCATTCTCAGCAAACTATCACAAGGACAAAAAACCAAACACCACATGTTCTCACTCATAGATGGGAATTGAACAATGAGAACACATGGACACAGGAAGGGGAACATCACACACCGGGGACTGTTGTGGGGTGGGAGTAGGGGGGAGGGATAGCATTAGGAGATATACCTAATGCTACATGATGAGTTAATGGGTGCAGCACACCAACATGACAATAGTATACATATGTAACAAACCTGCACGTTGTGCACATGTACCCTAAAACTTAAAGTATAATAATAAAATTAAAAAAGAAGTAAAAAATAAATAAATAAAATAAAAGCTGTATAGTAAAAAAAAAAAAAAAAGTAAAGTCATGTTGAAAGACAGCCATATGCATTTGATTACATATTGTCTATGGCTACAGTGGCAGAGTTAAATAATTAAAACAGAGACTATTTGACCCAGAAAGCCTAAAAGGTTTACTAACTGTTCCTTCCTAAAAAATGCTTGCCAACTCCTAATCTAGACATATGTAGAGATAAGTGGGATAACACAGAGGGAATAGAATATATTAAGCATTGCTCTCAGACCAAAAGTCTGTGTTCCATGATAATACATACACAATTCATCTCTCTCCTACTTCATGGTCTGTTTCCTACCTTCTTCCCTACCACTATCACCCCAAGAATAGAATAACCTTTTTTATAGTGTAGATCCCATGTTTCCAAGACTCTTAACTATAAATCATTAAACCACCTCCATTATTACTATAATAGTAAAGACAGTAACCACTTGTACATTCTGTACCTTGTCACAATATTCCAGAACTTCCATGTTACATATGCTGAGTTAAATACTATCACCATTCTCGCTATTTCTTTTGCATGTTGAAAATGTTGCCATTTTGTGAAACTTATTAAAATGTATGTTGTTTTGTTGAAATTCTATTAAAATGTAATTTCAGCCAGAAACAGTGATCCATCTTTCTAGGACCATTAGTTCCTTTCAAATGGGCATTCAATGCATTCAACCTTTCAGACCATAGTACTATCAGCTAGACCACTAAAAAATGTAATGTACGTCTCCAGTGCTTTCCAGAGTTCCTAAAATCAACTCAAAGAAAATATGTTACTCAGCTAGCAATGAGAGTTTGTGTCAAAAGGTGAAATTATGCCCTTTTCCTACCTTCCAGCATCCTTACTTACACTTAGAGGCAGGTGACAACAGAAGACTTAATTTGTCTGCCACGGAAGTCTTAGATTGTCCCAACGACCTATTACTTTGTCACCATTCCAGCGGCTTGGATGTGATGATTTGATTTCATAAATCTTCAGTCAAAGATACAATGATAGTGCCATATAGACATAAACGATGTTATAACAATACTATTTTGTGCTCCAATATGAAAAATTAGAAAGGTCACCAGGTCACTAAGGAAAACATGCTGACTTTGGGAAAAAGACTGTTATGGGTGCATGTACCTTGCTCCTCTGCTTTGTCCTCTTCAGTTTTAACCTTGATTATGACCACAGTATGAGAAATTAAAGAGGATACTGATAAAAATAACTAAATTATAGTTTCATTGGTAACCACAGATAAAAGTGGAGAGATATTAAGAAGATGTGAATGCTTTTATTGGTAACTATCTTAGCTACTTTATGCCTGTGGAAAAGAAGCCAGCATAAATATTTGAATGCCTTGGAACCCTCCAAGCTCACACTTAAAAAACAAAATAAAATAACCTACTTGCCTACCTTCTATAATTCACTCATTCATTACTTAATAGGTTCTGCAACAAAAGTCTAATGAGTGATTTTAAGTAAGTGGAGTCAAAATCAAGGCAAATCAAAATAAAAACACAAAACTGAGAAAGCAATTAAAAACACAACCAAGTTATTTAGTGTGTAGCTTAATACTCAAGCATCTCTCATTAACATGATAACATGTAAAGGATATGTAATAAATTATGTTACGGGAGGCAAGAAATGGAGAGTATCAAATTTCCTCTAAAAGTAGAGTAAGATATTAGTTTATTATTAAGAAACCAGTTTGTATTGTTTTGTGTGCTCGACTTCTGTTAAACCGAAAATAATCTTTCACAATTATTTACTCTATAGACTCTCTTTTCATTCCCAAATTTAAGAATTTGTTATTATAAGTATTGAATTCCATAAATTTTCACTTCTTTAAATCTTCTCTAGTTCAACGTGGATCAGAAACCAACATCCCAGGAAAGAAAAAAAAATTTCAAATTATAGGGGTATTTTTTTGAGTTAGATGCATAAAGTGACAATATTTATAATACAAATGTATCAAGAAATAGTTTATCAATCTATTCAGGCAAAAGATGTGAACAGTTGGTTCCTGTTGTTCTTCAGTTTGTGTAGTTTTATTTACTTGCTTTGCTAAATACTGTCAAATACTCTAATTCTATTCTTCTGTTGATCAATTTTTTTCATTGTACTTTAAGTTTTAGGGTACATGTGCACAACGTGCAGGTTAGTTACATATGTATACATGTGCCATGTTGGTGTGCTGCACCCATTAACTCATCATTTAACATCAGGTATATCTCCTAATGCTATCCTTCCCTCCTCCCCCCACCCCACAACAGGCCCCAGTGTGTGACGTTCCCCTTCCTGTGTCCATGTGTTCTCATTGTTCAATTCCCACCTATGAGTGAGAACATGCGGTGTTTGGTTTTTTGTCCTTGTGATAGTTTGGTGAGAATGATGGTTTCCAGCTTCATCCATGTCCCTAGAAAGGACATGAACTCATCATTTTTATGGCTGCATAGTATTCCATGGTGTAGTCAAAGAAAGGGGTGACAGACGGCACCTGGAAAATCGGGTCACTCTCACCCTAATACTGCGCTTTTCCAATGGTCTTAGCAAACGGCACACCAGGAGATTATATCCCGTACATGACTCAGAGGGTCCTACACCCATGGAGCCTAAAAGAGCTGTTGATCAATTTTTTAAACCTCTTCAAAAAGGAAGGTTGGTAGTGAAAGAAAAATTCTTTTTTTTTTTTTTTGCGATGGAATCTCGCGTTGCCCAGGCTAGGGTGCAGTGGTGCAATCTCGGCTCACTGCAACCTCCGCCTCCCGGGTTCAAGTGATTCTCCTGCCTCAGCCTCCTGAGTAGATGGAATTACAAGTGTGTGCCACCATGCCTGGCTAATTTTTGCATTTTTAGTAGAGACAGGGTTTCACCATGTTGGTCTGGCTGGCCTTGAACTCCTGACCTCAGGTGATCCACCTGACTCAACCTCCCAAAGTGCTGGGATTACAGGCGTGAGCCACCGTGCTCGGCCAGAAAAAATCTTTTAAAACAGCTCCTACAAAACATTTTTTTTTCACATAAGCACAGTTTTACTTTTTCCCTACTAAAGAAATAGTCATCTAATGTTCCCCACATGGTGTGAGCAATTTCCTCTATTATTAAATTAGTAAATCTTCTGTACACATATATTTCCACACTCTGAACCTTTGGTCATGCCATTCTATCCATTGAAATGTTCTTCCCTCATCTTCATGTGCATCAGGGAACAATTCAGCTAAAGCTGATATACTGCTAGGTATCCTCATCAACCATTAGGAATCTCAAGTGAATTCAGTTATCCTCATCCTTAAAGATATGCTACATGCTTTCCTCAAAATTTTCTGTTTATTTTGCCCAACTTCTGTCCTCAAAATATTACCCATCATCATTAACATAACTTTTTTTGAGTTATATTTATTATTACATACTATTCTAATGCTGGCCCTATAGTCAGTTACAAAAAATTACAATTAACTTACTAGATACTCTCCTAGATGCTGGAACTACAATAAAGTTTTCAAATTATTAGCAATTAAGTTTGGGGTTCAACTTATACACTTTAAAGTAAATGATAGAAATAATATATAGTATCAAGTGATTAGCCCAGAAAGTAGAGAAAAAAATTCAGAAAAAGGAGAGATTTTTATCAGTAGAAGCAGTCAGAAAATACATATGAAAGTAAAAAACACAAAAAGTAATAAAAGAAGATATTCCAAGAAGAAAGAAAGGAATTAGTGAAAGTGTGGAGATAGATATGTATGAATTGGTTTCACTGACCCCGAGAATTCATAGGAGGTAAAGGAACAGCCAATCACCTATCACCTGAGAGCACAGCAGGATGGACAATGATCGGGATATAAACCCAGGGATTCGAGCCAGCAACAGCTACCCTCTGGTTCCCCTCCCTTTGTATGGGAGCTCTGATTTCACTCTATTAAATCTTGCAACTGCAAAAAAAAAGAAAAAAAAAAAGAAAGAAGAAACAGAAGAGATTGGACTGGCAAGATGGATGAATAGGAACAGTTCCTGTCTGCAGCAACCAGCGAGATGGATGTAGAAGGCAGCTGATTTCTGCATTTCCAACTGAGATACCTGATTCGTCTCATTGGAACTGTTGGAGAGTGGGTGCAGCCCACGGAGGGCAAGCCGAAGCAGGGTGGGGAGTCACCTCACACAGGAAGCACAAGGGGTCAGGGGATCTCCCTTTCCCAGCCAAGGGAAACTGTGAGACTGTACCAGGAGGAATGGTGTACTGTGGCCCAGATACTACACTTTTCCCATGGTCTTCATAACCCGCAGACCAGGAGATTCCCTCCATTGCCTATGCCACCAGGGCCCTGGGTTTCAAGCAGAAAGCTGGGTGGCAGTTTGGGCAGACACTGAGCTAGTTGCAGGATCCCTTCCTCCCTTCCTCCCTTCCTCCCTTCCTCCCTTCCTCCCTTCCTCCCTTCCTCCCTTCCTCCCTTCCTCCCTTCCTCCCTTCCTCCCTCCCTCCCTCCCTCCCTCCCTCCCTCCCTCCCTCCCTCCCTCCCTCCCTCCCTTCCTTCCTTCCTTCCTTCCTTCCTTCCTTCCTTCCTATCCCAGTGGCACCTGGAACACCAGCGAGACAGAACTGTTCACTCCCCTGGAAGGGGGACTGAAGCCAGGGAGCCAAGTGCTCTGGCTTGGCGGGTCCCACCCCCATGGAGGCCAGCAAGCTAAGTTCCACTAGCTTGAAATTCCTGCTGTTAGCACAGAAGTCTGAGGTCGACCTGGGAAGCTCAAGCTCTGTGGGTGAAGGAGAGTCCACCATTGCTGAGGCTTGAGTAGGAGGTTTTACCCTCACAGTATAAACAAACGCACCTGGAAGTATGAACTGGGTGGAGCCCACTGCAGCTGAGCAAGGGCTCTGTGGCCAGACTGCCTCTCTAGATTCCTCCTTTCTGGGCAGGGCATCTCTGAAAAAAAGGCAGCAGCCCCAGTCAGGGACTCATAGACAAAACCCCCATCTCCCTGGGACAAAGCACCTGGGGAAAGGGGCGGTTGGGGGCACAGCTTCAGCAGACTTAAACGTCCCTGGCTGATGGCTCTGAAGAGAGCAGCAGATGTCCCAGCACAGTGTTAGAGCTCTGCTAAGGGACAGAATGCCTCCTCAAGTGGGTCCCTGAACGCCATGTAAACTGACTGGGAGACAACTCCCAGTAGAGACTGACAGACACATCATACAGGAGAGCTCTGACTGGCATCTGGTGGGTGGCCCTCTGGGACAAAGCTTCCAGAGGAAGAAACAGGCAGCAATCTTTGCTGTTCTGCAGCCTCCGCTGGTGATACTCAGGCAAACAGGGTCTGGAGTGGACCTCCAGCAAACTCCAGCAGACCTGCAGCAGAAGGGCCTGACTATTAGAAGGAAAACTAACGAACAGAAAGGAATCATATCAACATCAACAAAAAGGACGTCCACACCAAAACCCCATCCGAACATCACCAATATCAAAGACCAAAGGTAGATAAATCCATGAGGAAGGGGAGAAACGAGCACAAAAAGGCTGAAAATTCCAAAAACCAGAACACCTCTTCTCCAAGGGATCACAACTCCTCGCCAGCAAGGGAACAAAATTGAACAGAGAAGGATTTTGACAAATTGACATAAGTGGACTTCAGAAGGTGGGTAATAACAAAGTCCACCAAGCTAAAGGAGCATGTTCTAACCCAATGCAAGGAAGCTAAGAACTTTGAAAAAAAGCTAGATGAATTGCTAACTAGAATAACCAGTTTAGAGAAGAACACAATTGACCTGATGGAGCCAAGAAACACAGCACGAGAACTTCATGAAGCATACACAAGTATCAATAGCTGAATCAATCAAGCAGAAGACAGAATATCACAGATTGAAGATCAACTCAATGAAGTGAAGCGAGAAGACAAGATTAGAGGAAAAAGAGTGAAAACAAATGAACAAAGTCTCCAAGAAATATGGGACTATGTGAAAAGACAAAATCTATGTTTGTTTGGTGTACCGGAAAGTGACAGGAAGAATGGAACCAAGCTGGAAAACACTCTTCAGCACATTATCCAGGAGAAACACCCCAACCCTAGCAAGGCAGGCCAACATTCAAATTCAGGAAATACAGATAACGCCACAAAGATACTCCTTGAGAAAAGCAACCCCAAGACACATAATCATCAGATTCACCAAGGTTGAAATGAAGGAAAAAATGTTAAGGGCAGCCAGAGAGAAAAGCTGGGTCACCCACAAAGGGAAGCCCCTCAGGCTAACAGCATATCTCTTAGCAGAAACTCTACAAGACAGAAGAGAATGGGAGCCGATATTCAATATTCTTAAAGAAAAGAATTTTCAACCCAGAATTCCTTATCCAGCCAAACTAAGCTTCATAAGCAAAATAAAGTATTTTACAGAGAAGAAAATGCTGAGACATTTTCTTACCACCAGGCCTGCTTTAGAAGAGCTCCTGAAGGAAGCACGAAACATGGAAAGGAACAACCAGTACCAGCCACAGCAAAAACATACCAAATTGTAAAGACCATCAACGCTATGAGGAAACTGCATCAACTAACAGGCAAAGTAACCAGCCAGCATCACAATGACAGGATCAAATCCACATATAACAATATTAACCTTAAATGTAAAAGGGCTAAATGCCCTGATTAAAAGACACAGACTGGTAAATTGGATAAAGAGTCAAGACCCGTCAGTGTGCTATATTCAGGAAACCCATCTCACATGCAAAGACACACATAGGCTCAAAATAAATGGATGGAGGAAGATTTATCAAGCAAATCGAAAGTGAACAAAAAAAAGCAGGGGTTGCAATCCTAGTCTCTGATAAAACAGACTTTAAACCAACAAAGAACAAAAGAGACAAAGAAAGGCATTACATAATGGTAAAGGTATCAATGTATCAAGAAGAGCTATCTATCCTAAATATATATGCACCCAATACAGGAGCACCCAGATTCATAAAGAAAGTTCTTAGAGACCTACAAACAGACTTGGACTACCACAAAATAATAGTGGGTGACTTTAACACCCCACTGTCAATGTTAGACAGATCAACAAAACCGAAAATTAACAAGGATATCCAGGACTTGAACTCAGCTCTGGACCAAGCGGACCTAATATACATCTACAGAAGTCTCCACCCCAAATCAACAGAACATACCTTCTTCTGAGCACCTCATTGCACTTATTCTAAAATTGGCAGCATAATTGGAAGTAAAACACTCCTAAGCAAATGTGAAAGAATGGAAATCATAACAGTCTCTCAAACCACAGTGCAATCAAATTAGAACTCAGGATTAAGAAACTCACTCAAAACTACACAACTACATGGAAACTGAACAACCTGTTCCAGAATGACTACTGGGTAACAAAATTAAGGCAGAAGTAAAGATGTTCTTTGAAACCAATGAGAACGAAGACACAACATACCAGAATCTCTGGGACAAATTTAAAGCAGTGTGTAGAGAGAAATTTATAGCACAAAATGCCCACAAGAGAAAGCAGGAAAGATCTAAAATTGACACCCTAACTTACAATTAAAAGAACTAGAGAAGCAAGAGCAAACAAATTCAAAAGCTAGCAGAAGGCAAGAAATAATTAGGATCAGAGCAGAACTGAAGGAGATACAGACATGAAAACCCCTTCAAAAAATTAATGAATCCAAGAGCTGCTTTTTTAAAAAGATCAACAAAATAGATAGACTGCTAACCAGACTAATAAAGAAGAAAGAAACAAGAATCAAATAGACACAATAAAAGGTAAAGGGGCTATCACCACTGATCCTACAGAAATACAAACTACCATCAGAGAATACTATAAACACCTCTACGCAAAGAAACTAGAAAATCTAAAAGAAGTGGATAAATTCCTGGGCACATACAACCTCCCAAGACTAAACCAGGAAGAAGTCAAATCCCTGAATAGACAAATAAAAAGTTTCAAAATTGAGGCAGTAATTAATAGCCTACTAACCAAAAAACAAATCCAGGACCAGACAGATTCACAGCCGAATTCTACCAGAGGTAGAAAGAGGAGCTGGTACCATTGCTTCTGAAACTATTCCAAACAATAGAAAAAGAGGGAATCTTCCCTAACTAATTGTAAGAGGCCGGACTTACCCTGATACCAAAACCTGGCAGAGACACAACAAAAAAAAATTTCAGGCCAATATCCATGATGAATATCGATGCAAAAATCCTCAATAAAATACTGGGAAACCGAATCCAGAAGCACATCAAAAAGCTTATCCACCACGATCAAGTAGGCTTCATTCCTAGAATGCAAGCCTGATTCAACATACGCAAATCAATAAATGTGATCCATCACATAAACAGGACCAATGAAAACAAGCACAAGACAAACGTGCCCTCTCTCACCACTCCTATTCAACATAGTATTGGGAGTTCTGACCAGGGCAATCAGTCAAGAGAAAGAAATAAAGGGTATTCAATTAGGAAGCGAGGAAGTCAAATTGTCTCTGTTTGCAGATGACATGATTGTATATTCTGAAAACCCCATTGTCTCAGCACAAAATCTCCTTAAGCTGATAAGCAACTTCAGTGAAGTCTCAAGATACAAAATCAATATGCAAAATTCACAAGCATTCCTATACACCAACAATAGACAAAAGCTAAATCATGAGTGAACTCCCATTCACAATTGCTAAAAAGAGGATAAAATATCTAGGAATACAACTTACAAGGGATGTGAAGGACCGCTTCAAGAACTACAAACAACTGCTCAAGGAAATAAGAGAGAAGACAAACAAATGAAAAAGCATTCCATGCTCATGGAGAAGAAGAATCAATATTGTGAAAATGGCCATACTGCCCAAGACAATTTATGGATGCAATGCTATCCCCATCAAGCTCCCATTGACTTTCTTCACAGAATTGGAAAAAACTACGTTAAATTTCATATGGAACCAAAGAAGACCCCGCATAACCAAGACAATCCTCAGCAAAAAGAACAAAGCTGGAGGCATCATGCTACCTGACTTCAAACTACACTACAAGGCTACAGTAACCAAAACAGCATGGTACTGGTACCAAAACACAGATATAGACCAATGGAACAAAACAGAGGCCTCAGAAATAACACTACACAGCTAAAATCATCTGATCTTTGACAAACCTGACAAAAACAAGCAATGGGGAAAGGATTCCCTATTTAATAAATGGTGTTGGTAAAATTGGCTAGCCATATGCAGAAAGATGAAAGTGGATCCCTTCTTTACACCTTATACAAAAATTATCCCAAGATGGATTAAAGACTTTAACATAAGACCTAAAACCATAAAAACCCTAGAAGAAAACCTAGGCAATACCATTCAGGCCATAGGCATGGTCAAAGACTTCATGACTAAAACACCAAAAACAATGGCAAAAAAAGCCAAAATTGACAAATAGGATCTAATTAAACTAAAGAGCTTTTGCACAGCTAAAGAAACTATCATCAGAGTGAACAGGCCACCTACAGAATGGGAGAAAATTTTTGCAATCTATCCGTCTGACAAAGGGCTAATATCCAGAATCTACAAAGAACTTAAACAAATTTACAAGAAAAAAAAACAAACAACCCCATCAAAAAGTGGGCAAAGGATATGAATAGACACTTCTCAAAAGAAGACATTTGTGCAGTCAACAAACATATGAAAAAAAGCTCATCATCATTGGTCATTAGAGAAATGGAAATCAAAGCCACAGTGAGATACCATCTCACACCAGTTAGAATGGCGATCATTAAAAAGTCAGGAAACAACAGATGCTGGAGAGGATGTGAAGAAATAGGAATGCTTTTACACTGTTGGTGGGAGTGTAAATTAGTTCAATCATTGTGGAAGACAGTGTGGCAATTCCTCAAGGATTTGGAACTAGAAATACCATTTAACCCAGCAATCCCGTTACTGGGTATATACCCAAAGGATTATAAATCATTCTACTATAAAGACACATGCACATATGTTTATTGCAGCACTGTTCACAATAGCAAAGACTTGGAACCAACCCAAATGGCCATCAATAATAGACTGGATAAAGAAAATGTGGCACATATACACCATGGAATACTACGCAGCCATAAAAAGGATGTGTTCATGTCCTTTGCAGGGACATGGATCAAGCTGGAAACCATTATTGTCAGTAAACTACCACGAGAACAGAAAACCAAACACCAAACACCGCATGTTCCGACTCATAAGTGAGAGGTGAACAATGAGAACACATGGACATGAGGGTGGGGGGGCATCACACACTGGGGTCTGTGGGGGATGGGGGCTAGGTGACAAATAGCATTAGGAGAAATACCTAATGCAGTTGACGGGTTGATGGGTGCAGCAAACCACCATGGCACGTGTAACAAACCTGCACGTTCTAGACATGTATTCCAGAACTTAAAGTATAATAATAAAAAAGAAACAGAAGAGAATAATTAAAGTCCATGAATGCTATAGTAAAATACCTAGATTTCTTTTATAGAATGACAAAGAGTAAATGAAAACTTTTGAACTATTAGTGACATAAATAGAGAATTGCTTTAGGAAGATTAATCTGGCATTAAGAGTGCTATATTAATTGGAGGTAGAAAGATGTATCATGAGACTTTTGCAGAAGACTGAGGATAATTGTGCTGTGCAATACAGCAGTGCCAGTGGGATTAAAAGGAATATTATGTAATGATATCACAATGAAATAAAATGATCAAAATTTATGACTGACATGACATGAAGAAAAATTTGGAGAGAGACTAAAACTAGAGAAGAATAATATTGGTTCAAGAAACTGATGCAGGCAAAATCAAAGTCAGTACCTGGAAGATGTAAGAGAAAAAAGTGTTATTTATGGGTCATGTTTTAAAAATTTAAGTGAACAACGCTTTTGCTTTGGCTTCATATTCTCCCTTTCCAGGAGGCTACATCTTGTCTCCTTCTGTTTATGAGCTACCTTTGACAAATGGAATAATTCAGTAAATCTTATCCTTCTGTAATGCGTTTTATTATTCATTTATTTAATATACATTTATTGAGTTCATAGTAAATGTTAGGCATTATGTTAGGTAGCAACAATGATGAACAAAATAAATGCAGTGCCTACCCTCATTGTAGATATACAGTAATAGAGAAGACAGATACTTAACAAATAATTGCTCAAATAACTATTTAATGATTGTTATGCATATTATTAAGCAAAAGTAGAGATGGCTATGAAAGTTTACAAAAGGAGGAAATAACCTAATCTGGCAAGAGGTTCTGGGAATGGTGCCCTGACAAATTAAACTAATATTTAATTTAATAGTTGAAGGATGAGTAGGAGTTAGCTAAATTAGAAAGGAGAGCAAGTGAGCCTGGGCAACATGAAGAAAACCTCTCTCTACAAAAGTTAAGAAAAAAATATTAGCCAGGCATGGTTGCGTGAGCCTATAGTCCCAGCTACATGGGAGGCAGAGGTGGGCAGATCACTTGAATCCCAGGAGGTGAAGTTCTGATTGTACCACTGCACTCCAGCCTGGGCAACAGAGTGAGACCCTATCTGAAAAAAAAACAAAAAAAAATCGCCGGGCGTGGTGGCTCACGCCTGTAATCCCAGCACTTTGGGAGGCCGAGATGGGCAGATCACAAGATCAGGTTATCGAGACCATCCCAGCTAACACGGTGAAACCCCGTCTCTACTAAAAATACAAAAAATTAGCCGGGCGTAGTGGCGGGCGCCTGTAATCCCAGCTACTCGGGAGGCTAAGGCAGGAGAATGGCGTGAACCTGGGAGGCGGAGCCTGCAGTGAGACGAGATCGCGCCACTGCACTCCAGCCTGGGAGACTGAGCAAGACTCCGTCTCAAAAAAAAAAAAAAAAAAAAAAAGAGAGAGAGAGAGGAGAAAGGGAGAAAGTATGTGTGTTTATATTACAGGTGAAAAGAATATCTCACATACAGGAAGCAGTATAAGCAAGGGTTATGAGGGCAACAGATCTTAGTACATTTTAGGGATAGAAAAGGTTGGTGTGGATGGAGCAAAGTGAGCAAGAGAGGGAGATGATTAGTGCAAGATGAGTGTCTTAACTCTTTTGTGTTGCTATGAAGGAACACCTAAGACTGAGTAACTAATTTTTTGTTTTAGTTTTATTTGGCTTATGCGTGGCACTGGCATTGCATCTGGTAAGGGCCACAGGCTGCTTCCATTCATGGTGTCAAAAAGGAGCCAGTCTATAGAGAGATTATGTGGCAAGAAATGAAGTGAGAGAGACAGAGGGGAGGTGCCAGGCCCTTTTTAACAACCAACTCTCATTGGAACTAGTAGAGTGAGGACTCACTCATTACATGAGGACCACACCAAGCCATTCATGAGGGATCTGCCCTCATGACCCAAACACCTCCCATTAGGCCCCACCTTCAACAGGAGATTAAGTTTCAACATGAAGTTTGGGGAAGTCAAATATCTAAACCATAGCCATGAGGATGTAAAAACAGGCAGGAACCATATTATCTGAATCCTGTAGATTTTTACATTTATCCACAGAGCAATGGAAAGATATTAAGGGCCTATAACATGGTTTTTTTGTTGCTGTTTTTACAATCTGGTGAAAGTGTGAGTACTGGAATGGAGAAAGTCAAGATTAGAAACAGGAAAACCAGTTTAGAGGCTATTTGTCTAAGTCTAGGCAATTTATCATGGTAGCTTCAAGTAGTAGCAATACAGTTTGAGAGACATGAACACATTCAAGACATATTTTGCACATTTGGGAAGTAGAATTGGCAAGATTTGATAATAAAGTGGATGTGAGGAGTAAGGTAGAAGGATTAAGGATGTCTCCCAGGTTTCTGAAAGGGCAACTCAGTGATTAAAAAATCATTTGCTGGTATAGTGTGGATGTTGTCCCCACCTAAATGTCATGTTGAAATGTAAGTCCCAGTGTTGGAGATGGGGTCTGGTGGGAGGTGATTGGATCACGAGGGTGAATTTTTCATGAATGGTTTAGCACTATCCACTTGGTACTGTCCCTTCACAGTAGTGAGTGAGTTCTCATTAGATCTGGTCATTTTTAAGTGTGTGACACCTCCCCTCTATCTTGTTTCTGCTTTCACCATGTGACATGCCTGCTCCCCCTTTGCCTTCTGTCAAGATTGTAAGCTTCCTGAAGCCTCCCCAGGAGCCCAGCAAGCATCCGCAGCATGCTTCCTGTAAAGCCTGCAGAATGTGAGCCAATTAAGCCTCTTTTCTTTATAAATCACCCAGTTTCAGGTATTGTTTTATAGAAATGCAAGAATGATTTAACGCACTTGCCAAGAGAGTTAACATTAGAGGAGAAACTGGTTTTATAGGAGCAGATTATGGGTTCAGTTTTTTACTATGAGGCCTATGTAGATTATTCAAATAAACCATAGTATATGAGTTTGGAGACCAATGTGGATCTAATGCTTCAGTGAAACATTATTGGGGAAAGGATTTCTGATAACAAGGATAAGGTGATGTAAAAATACTTTTCATTATCTATAGCTTAATATATTATGTGAAATAAACCCTTCATTTAAAGTGAATCTGTGAGCATAAAAACTATATACATTTTATTCATTTAATTAACATTCTGATGAGAAGAAGTTATCTTTTCAAAGAAAGCTTGATTAATTTATCTAATAATAGGGTTGTTACTCTTATTCATTTAAATAAAAGTAAGAATTGTCCAAGGTTTAACTTCTTCCTATACAGAAGCATAACATTTGGCAGGTTAATGTGCCATTACAACCACTTTGTACTTTTTTTTTTTTACTTTCTAGACAAATAACATTTTTCCATGGAATAACTGCAGATGACAAAAGATATGTAGTTAATAAGAAGCCACTTAAAAGACACCATCCACCTCAAAAGATCAAATATTCAAGAAATAAATAAATTGTTAAAATATAAGTTGTCTTGGAATTTATTGCATCCAGCACTTCTCTAATACATGAGTCCTTTCCATAGCTGAACATTTTCTGCTAAGTTTTGTTTGAAATCTTCTAACAAAAAAGACACTGTATTTAAAGAGCAATAATTTTATACAATCATTTTACCCATTTATTTCTTCATTCATTTGTAAGTTCATTTATTCATATATTCTAATTCAACAAAGCATTGTGCTGGATGCCACATAGGGGAAAGTTGAATAAAATGATAAAACAGATATGAGTACTTGCTTCTCAAGACACTTAAAACCTGGCAAATATGAAAGAAAATTGCTATAATACAAGAAAAAATAAGTGATAAAAGAAAGCATATAAATAAAATATCATAGTATTCAGGAGATGAAGAGTCCTCTTTTAGCTAGTAAACAGCTTAAGGCTTATAGCAGACATTGTGGTTTGCCTCCTTAGCAATTATTTTTTTTTTTATCAATTACAAACAGCCATGAAATTGATGACCTGCAAACTCCAGGGGAGGACCCTGACCAACTTAGATCAGAGGTAAGCTCTGATGATCTAATCTAATCAGCATTTATCAGCCTATATCAGTGAGAATATCACCTAAGCTATTTTAGTATGAAGCCGAGAACTTTTATTGAATTGGAGGTGAGTGGGTGGAGAGACTGGGGAGATGCTTTCTTTTTCTTGCTCTGTGTGATGTGGAATGTTAATGTAACACTTAAAATTGCTCCAACGTTGTCTAACCCTAAAGGAAATCAACCTAAGGACAGAGATCACATGAAGGAATAAAGACACAAGGGAACTGTGTATAAATTAATCTGGCACCTCATGAAATTGTACATGAACCTTTTTCTTTATCTTAACTTTTTTGTGTCATAAACCTATAAATTTCCTTTATTATAGCAATTTGAGTGGCTCTCTGCTACTTATAATCAAAACTATTCTAACTACAAAAATATTCATAAAGAAAATAGCATCTGACCTAGAGTTTGAAAAATAGTTAAGAATTTAGCATAAAAGGATGAAGGGAAGCATTCCAGACAGAGGGAATAAACACTTAGGAAATTAGGAAATTTCTGCAGCACCTCAGTTTGACTCTAATGGAGACTGAATATAGATGTAGCCTGAAAGTGATGGTTGGGTGAAATGTTCCAGAGTAAATGAATGCCTGGCTATGACAATTTCATTCTACAGACCAGTGATTCCAAGTATTAATAATCACGCCTTTACTAGAAAAGGATCTCACTCAACACCTTTCTCTTTATTCACTCGTTTATAAAATATATACTCTTAATTATTAAGACAATGCAAATAAAGTTTTAATATGTTTTTCCCATATCTTAGTGTATCATCTTGTATCTTCACTTAAATATGTCCACTCCTACTTAGAATCTACTGTAACAGACAATGACAAACCACTGCAAAGTAAACAAGAGCATAAAGGGATAAGAACCACAGCTTAGAAGCATCTATCTGAGAGCAACATCTAAAATGGATTAAAATAGATATTACTGGAAATAGGGGGATTTGTTATTTTTTCCAAGAAGCCAGTAATTAAAGAATAATTGGAAACTTTAATCTTTAAGGCTTTGGACCATTCTAATAAGATTAACTTTTTCTATTTTCCAATCAGTTAACTGTTTGATAGTATTTTTTTTTAAAAAAATCCTTATTTAGTGAGCTGCATAATTTCTTCAATATCTAACATTTTTTGAATATCTGATAAAAATATAAAAGTTTTCATACAGGTAAAAGATGTATAGCATGTTTTTATAAAAATCAGTTAACTGGAACATTTTAAAAAATTAATCTTATTAAGATGGTCCAAAGCCTTACTTTTCCATGGAACTTCCGGTTAGAGAAGCAAAGAAATCTATAGCATGATTAAAAGATATGTGTATCAAGATATTTAAGGCAGTGGGCCAAGTCTACTAAACTCTCTCATGCAGAAACTTCCTCTTCACCTTAGAAGATGTGCAAAGACAGAAAATCTATCAGAGAGCAACTATGAGTGACCACTCTTCAAATGTTACTAGCATCTATAAAAGATTTTTCTTGAAAAAAAATTCAAATTTTATTTTATGTTTGGGGAGTATATGTGAAAGTTTGTCACATAGGTAAACTCATGTCACAGGGGTTTGTTGTACAGATAATTTCATCACCCAGGTATTAAGCCCAGTACCCAATAGTTATCTTTTCTCCTCCTCTCCCTCCTTCCTCCCTTCATCCTCAAATACATGCCAGTGTCAGTTGTTGCTTTGTGTTCATAAGTTCTCATCATTTGGCTCCCAGTTATATGTGAGAACATGTGGTATTTGGTTTATGTTCCTAAATAATTCTACCATAAAGACACATGCATATGAATGTTTATTGCAGCACTATGCAAAATAGCAAAAACATAGAATCAACCTAAATGCCCATCAATGACAGATTGGATAAAGAAAATGTTATACATATACATAATGGAATACTAGGCAGCCATAGAAAAGAACAAGATTATGTCATTTGCAGGAAGATGGATGGAGCTGGAGGCTGTTATCCTCTTGAAAAATTGTTTACTTACATCTTAATGTTTATTGTTATATAGCTATTGTTTGGCATGTCAACACAAAGAAACTCTCCTACTTTTCATCACGAAGTCCTGAGAAGAACAATCAGCTGTTCCCTGAGAGGGAAACTCAGGTTTCCCCTGCAAGCTCTGTCACTAAGGGTTGTAAGGTTTAGAGCATTTTAACCTACCTAAGACGCAGTGTCTTATTTGTCCTTAAAATCTCTCCAAGCTTAGATTTAACACTATTTCATAGCTTAGTGCTGTTTGAAATACATATATATAGTCAAAAAAAAATTTTTTTTGAGACAGAGTCTCGCTCTGTCTCCAGCCGGGAGTGCGGTGGTGTGATCTCAGCTCACTGCAACCTCTGACTCTCTGATTCAAGCAATTCTCCTGCCTCAGCCTCCCAAGTAGATGGGATTACAGGCATATGCCACCACACCCAGCTAATTTTTGTATTTTTAGTAGAGACAGTGTTTCACCATGTTGGCCAGGATGGTCTCAATCTCCTCACCTTGTGATCCAGCCGCCTCTGCCTCCCAAAATGCTGGGATTACAGGCATGAGCCACTGCACCCAGCCCAGTCAAATATTTTTTTTTAATACTTTCAGTTCTGGGATACACGTGCAGAACGTGCACATTTGTTACATAGGTATACACATGCCATGGTGGTTGGCCTGCACCCATCAACCCATCATCTACATTAGGTATTTCTCCTAGTGCTATCCCTCCCCTAGGCCCCCACCACCCGACAGGCCTCAGTGTCTGATGTTCCCCTCCCAGTGTCCATGTATTCTCATTGTTCAACTCCCAATTATGAGTGAGAACATGAAGTGTTTGGTTTTCTGTTCCTGTGTGAGTTTGCTGAGAAGGAGGGTTTACAACTTCATCCATGTCCCTGCAAAAGACATGAACTCATCCTTTTTTATTGCTGCATAGTATTTCGTGGTACACATGTGCCACATTTTCTTCATCCAGTCTTGATGGGCATTTGGGTTGGTTTCAAGTCTTTGCTACTGTGAACAGTGCTGCAATAAACATACGTGTGCATGCATCTTTATAGTAGAAATTATAACTGGCATGAGATGGTATCTCATGGTTTTGATTTGCATTTCTCTAATGACCAGTGATGATGAGCTTTTTTTTCATATGTTTATTGGTCACATAAATGTCTTCTTTTGAGAAGTGTCTGTTCATACATTTTGCCCACTTTTTGATGTGGTTTTTTTTTTCTTGTAAATTTGTTTAAGTTCTTTGTAGATTCTGGATACTAGCCCTTTGTCAGATGGATAGATTGCAAAAATTTTCTCCCATTCTGTAGGTTGCCTGTTCACTCTGATGATAGTTCTTCTCTTGCTGAACAGAAGCTCTTTGGTAAAATTAGATCCCATTTGTCAATTTTGGTTTTCATCACCATTGCGTTTGTGTTTTAGTCATGAAATCTTTGACCATGCCTATGTCCTGAATGGTATTGCCTAGGTTTTCTTCTAGGATTTTTATAGTTTTAGGTTTTATGTTTAAGTCTTTAATCCATCTTGAGTTAATTTTTGTATAAGGTGTAAGGAAGGGGTCCAGTTTCAGTTTTCTGCATATGGCTAGCCAGTTTTCCCAATACCATTTATTAAATAGGGAATCCTTTCCCCATTGCTTGTTTTCGTCAGGTTTGTCAAAGATCAGATGTTTGCAGATGTGTGGCATTATTTCTGAGGCCTCTGTTCTGTTCCAGTGGACTATTTATCTGTTTTTGGTACCAGTACCATGCTGCACTCCTATTCAACATAGTATTGGAAGTTCTGGCCAGGGCAATCAGGCAAGCGAAAGAAATAAAGGTATTCAAATAGGAAGAGAGAAAGTCAAATTGTCTGTTTGCAGATGACATGATTGTATATTTAGAAAACCCTATCGTCTCAGCCCAAAATCTTCTTAACCTGATAAGCAACTTCAGCAAAGCCTCAGGATACAAAATCAATGCGCAAAATTCACAAGGATTCCTATACACCAATAATAGACAGAGAGCCAAATCATGAGTGAACTCCCATTCACAATTGCTTTAAATAGAATAAAATACCTAGGAATAAAACTTACAAGGGATGTGAAGGACCTCTTCAAAGAGAACTACGAACTACTGCTCAAGAAAATAAGAGAGAACACAAACAAATGGAAAAACATTCCATGCTCATGGATAGGAAGAATCAATATCATGAAAATGGCCATACTGCCCAAGGTAATTTATAGATTCAATGCTATCCCCATCAAGCTACCATTGACTTTCTTCCCAGAATTAGAAAAAGCTACTTTAAATTTCATATGGAACCAAAATGACCCCATATAGCCAAGACAATCCTAAGCAAAAAGAACAAAGCTGGAGGCATCATGCTACCTGAGGTCAAATATTTTTTACTTAAAATGTTAAATTACTTTGGATCTCTTGGGGAAAAAAACAATAATTGCCTACTGCTTTGTTAATTGCTAGCCAGAAATTCACCTCCCTTTAATATTAGCCTCTGAAATATGTGCCTTCTACTCTTCTAAGAGCATGCTTGAAGTTCCTGAGAAATATGATGTCAAAGATACCACATGTATGCACATTTTTAATTCCTAGCTAGGCCCCTGATCAAAAACTCTACTTTCTTCTCCTACAAAGCAACAGTCTTTTAAACTCTTCATTGTAAATCCTGGAGCAGGGCCAACTCTACAAATTCATTTCCTATTTCCTTTACTCTTAGCCCCACCATGTATCTTTGCTTGACCTTTCGAAGTGGAGGGTCTCTCGATAAGAACACACACTGGCTTTTTTAACATTGCAAAACAGAAGAAAAACTTACCACCATAAGGGAGAAGATAATCTTGACCTCCTTACTTCCAATAAAAGTCCATCTCTTGCATGGTGCCTAAGTTGTTTGCCTTTTAGATGTCATGCCAAAGCTTTGTATGTACATATATACAAATATACCATTTACATATAATCACCTCAACAGGCAGGCTGTCATAATAAATAGTTTATAGCTGAGCTATGAAAGCATAGACAGGCTGGACAAGTAGGCCAACATCACCCATTTGAGAACTGTGGAGCCCTTTGAATTTGGAGTGAAAAGAGTGAGGGTATATGACACCACAACAGCCCATGTAGAGATGTGGCCATGTTTGTTTACCTATAACATCTTAGTAAAGTCATTTATGATAAAATCATAACTAGAAATCTGTTGGGAGCTTCATATTTAGGTAGCTTTTGGCACAGAAACTTTTCAAAAGTTTTGTTGAATTCAAATCAACCAAATAGTTCACATTTACCATATTTATATTTTATCATCTCACACACCCAGAGAAGAGTAAATATGCATGTTCCTTATACGAAGTACATATACTTTGACCATTTATGTTAAATACACTTTGGGAGATGTTTTACATGGATTATCTCAAAATATAATTCTATGTTTTACATAGATAATTCTCAAAGTATAAAATAAATATAACTTATAAATAAAACTGTTTTCATTTTTTAATTGAAAAAATAAACCAGTTAATTTAAACAACTTGTCAAAAGTCACCCAGTTTTTATGTAGTGATATAGGGATTCAAACAGTTTCACTCTGTAGCCCATGCTCTTTTTTGTACCGTATTATTTTTCCTTTCTGCCATAAATTACGTTTCCTTAAGTGTTCCTTAAATCCACACCATTTCTTGGAAAAAAAAAAAGTGACATTATTTTTATTACACAAAAATAATGATTATTCTTATTAAGATAGACATTGTATCAATGCTGTATTTATATAATCCTATTTAATCCTCGTATCAACAATGTAGGCCAGGCATGGCGGCTCACACCTGTAATCATAGCACTTTGGGAGGCTGAGGCAGGAGGATCATTTGAGCTCAGGAATTCGAGACCAGCCTGGGCAACATGGCGAAAGCTCATCTCTCCAAAAAATACAAAAATTAGACAGGCATGGTGGCATGCACCTATAGTCCCAGCTACTTGGGGAAGCTGAGTTGAGAGGATCACTTGAGCCCAGGAGCTCAAGTCAGCAGTGAGTCATGATTGTACCACTGCACTCCAGCCTGGGCAACAGAGCAAGACCCTGTCTCAACAACAAACAAACAAACAAAAAGAAATACCAAAAAACAATGTGAGGTAGATATTATTATTCCTACATCATAGACAAAGGAATTGAGACTCAAAGATAACAAACTTGCTCAAGGCTCCATGGCAAGCAAGCAATGAACCAGAATTGTTCACAAATGCAAACATTTGACACAAAAGATTATACTTTTAACCATTACACTAGTGTGTGCAGATCTAAAATTGCTTAGAATAAATTTTATTTATGGAGGTTATACCAGAATTCTGCCAGTTCCCTAGTACAAAAATTAAGGAAGCATTAAAAATAATAAAGATAATAATGGGGGAAACTGCAGTATAGGGAAAGAGGGAAAGAGAAGGAGTATATGAGAGTTCTCTATACATTCTACTAAAGTTTTCAATATACCTAACACTGCTTTTTTCAAAAGTCCATTGATGTTTTAAAAAATAAAAATTATATGATTTTACCTTAAAAATTCCTTAAAATCATTAAGTGAAGGCTTTGTGGAATTAAGTTATTGATAAGATCTAAAACATTGTAATCACAGTTCTGTGAACTGTAAGGAGCCAAGTAGAATGATCACAAATAGGTGATTGTCCCCATAACAAACATACAACTAGTTTTGGAAGGTGTGGAGAGGTCGTTTAAACAAAAAGTTACTGGGAAAAATCTACCACATAAAAGTCACTTTTAGGCCGGGCGCGGTGGCTCACGCCTGTAATCCCAGCACTTTGGGAGGCCGAGGCGGGCGGATCACGAGGTCAGGAGATCGAGACCATCATGGCTAACACGGTGAAATCCCGTCTCTACTAAAAATACAAAAAATTAGCCAGGCGTGGTAGCGGGCGCCTGTAGTCCCAGCTACTCGGGAGGCTGAGGCAGGAGAATGGCGTGAACCCGGGAGGCGGAGCTTGCAGTGAGCCGAGATCGCGCCACTGCATTCCAGCCTGGGCGACAGAGCGAGACTCCGTCTCAAAAAAAAAAAAAAAAAAGGCACTTTTAAAATTAACAAAACTGAAGACTTTTTTTCTCTTGCAAGATCTATTTCCTTGATTCCTGCACCTGACTTTCTTCAGTTCTTGGTACCTTGTTGACAATACTGGTCATTGCTATTTCCACAGTATCATGCCACTAGACTTTATTTTCACTGTTGCATAGGTCCTTCAAACAATTTGGTTTCTAACTGAGGAATATAGATCATACAAATAATAATAATGTTAAAATTTACATTATAGTAACAGTTTTCATATTAAATTTTAAGCCAAAAAATTATAAACTGAAACATAACCCACTTATAAAAAGTAATGTATATATTATGGCTTCTTTTTAAACTTTTTAATGCCAATTTATTTAATCCTCATTCAAATACATCATTTAATTTTTACTAATAATCATATTGTTACTACATAAAAATTACATTTTTTATAATAAAAAAAGATAATGTTTTTGGCCTCAGTAAGAGACTGAGCATAGTCTTAAATAACTATAATCTTGCTATTCAGTTCAGTAAATATATCACTAGCCAATTTTTCTGACATATTTATGTATAAATATTGTTTGTGAATTGAACACTGCTACTTTACATGCTTCTTAGTTGATTTTATTTCAAAGCACAAATGGAAACACATATTTAGTTCCTTCTACAATTGTTACTTTAAAATATGTACCATCACTTATCTTACATTTTCATGAGTTACAGTCTAGACTCTAAACATGACCAAATCAGATCTTGCGAAGTGTTAAAAATGTAAATAAACTTTAAAAAATAAAGCTTACATGATACAGTAACAGAAGGATATATTGATTTTAAAATGGACAAAATTAGATCTATATTTTTGCAGGCAGGGAAAGCTAGGGAGAAACAAGAATAATACTTTTTTAAAGATTTTATTTTTTATTAATAATAGTTGTGCATATTTTGGGGATATATGTAGTATTTTGATACAATATATAATGAACAAGCCAGGGAAATTGGGGCATCCATCACCCCAACCATTCACTTCTTATGTTGGAAACATTTCAATTGCTCTCTTCCAGCAATTTTGAACTACACAAAAAAATTATTGTTAACTATAGTTGCCTTATTCTACTATCAAACACTAGATCTTATTCCTTCTAACTAAATGTGTTTTTGTACTCATTAACTAATGACTTTTCTCTCCTCCTCAACTCTTCCCAGCTTCTGGTAGCCATGAATCAGCTCTATCTCCATAAGCTCCACTATTTTAGCTTCCACATATGAGTAAGAGCATGTGGTATTTGTCTTTCCATGCCTGGCTTATTTAACTTAACATAATGACTTCCAGTTCCATCCATGTTGCTGTAAATGAAAGGATTATATTATTTTTTATGGCTAATAGGCCACTGTGTATATGCATCATATTTTCCTTATTCATTCATCTGTTGATGAACACAGGCTAATTCCAAAATTTGACTATAGGGAATAATGCTGCAATGAACACGGGAGTGCAGGTATCTCTTTGACATACTGACGTCCTCTCTTTTGGATATGTACTCAGCAGTAAGATTACTGAATCACATGGTAGTTCTGTTTTTATTTTTTTGAGGAACCTTCATACTCTTTTCTATAGTGGCTGTACTAATTTACATTACCACCAACAGTGTATGAGTATTCCTCTTTCTCTGTGTCTTGCCAGGTATCCACTTTTATTTTTTGGTAAAAGCCATTTTAACTGGAGTGAGAAAATATCTCTTATGGTTTTGATTTGCATTTCCCTGATGATTAATGATGTTGAGCATTTTTTCATATAACTGTTGGCCATTTGTGTGTCTTCTTTTGAGAAATATCTTTTAAATCTTCTGTTTTTTTAATCCAATTACTTGAAAATATCTTGCTATTGAGTTGCTTGAGTTCTTTATACATTCTGGTAATAAATCCCTCATTGGATGGAGAGTTTGCAACCATTTTCTCCCATTATGTAAGTTGTCTCTTCACTTCGTTAATTATTTCCTTTGCTGTGCAGAAGCATTTCAGCTTGACATGATCCCATTTGTTTATTCTTGCTTTTGTTGCCTGTGCATTTGAGGATTTATCTAAAAAAATCTTTGCACAGAACAATGTCCTGAAACATTTCCCCAATGTTTTCTTCTAGTAGTTGTATGGTTTCAGTTCCTACATTTAAGTTTTTAATTCATTTTGATTTGATTTTTGCATAAGGTTAAGAGATAGGAATCTAGCTTTTTCCTTGTGCATAAGTTATCCAATTTTCCCAGCACCATTTATTGAAGAGACTTTCCTTTCCCCCATGTATGTTCTTGGCATCTTTGTCAAAAATGAATTGGTTTTAAATGTGTGGATTTATTTCTCGGTTATTTAAGGAATAATGTGCATTTTTAAAGAAACATATTTTTTAAAGACAGGAAAAGAATTATTTGATTGACTAAGGAACTTTCTTTATGCTAATATAGAATAAGTATTATAGAGCACTAATAGTAAAAGTAATTAGATATTACAGTAGCCCAAGTATTATTGCAGTTATCCAAGAATTCTTTCAAATATAAGTGGAGGAGTAGGTATACAGAGAAAGCCTCTCTAGGGAAGTGACATTTGAGCTGAGACATGAAGGAACAGGATAGCATAAATAGGCAAAAGTGTTCTCCAAGGAGTGAGGACAGCAAGTATAAATGCCCTAAGGATTTTTCTTTCATTTAAGAGTATATAGTGGGTGAGAGAGAAATTGGCATGAGATGAGGCTGAATGTAGGAAAGATACAGATTACTCACAGCCTTGTAACTATTAAAAGATATTTGAAATGTAGTATAAATGCGTAAGAATCATTAGGAGGGTTTTACAAAGTAGTAGCATGATATAACTTGAGTTTTGAAATAATTATACCGTGGGATGTGTAAAGAATTTGTCATAGAAGGGTATCTTACTCCAGTTGAGCTGCTATGACAAAATAACATAGACTGGATGGCTTAAAAAATAAGCTTTTACAAGTTACCTCTCAAAGGCCCCATCTTCAAATACAATCACACTGAGGGGTTAGGGATTCAATATATTAATTTGAGGTTATGCAACTCAGTCTATAGCAGAGGACAAAATGAAAGTGATAGATATCCATTATTTTTGCCTTCTCAATATCCATTTCCTCTTCTCTTGGAAAAAAAATACCTTGAAAGTCCCTTAGGATTGATCTTTTCCTTTTCTTTTTTGTTTTTTCTTTTTATTTTTTTTTTGTCCTTGTGGTTTGGGTGGGGATGATTCCACTTAAGCCAAAATTCCATGTAGTTACTTTTGACAAACAAGAGTAATGTTTCCCTCTGGTCCCATAGATGGCTCTGGGATACCCATATGAGCCAAGTCATCTTAGACTCTCACCGGAGCAAATAATTGGGAAATAGAAATGGCCTTTCTCTAAGAAGGAAAACTTAACTAAAACTGAAATCAATGCCCTTGGGAGACACTTGTAGTAATCTATATGGGGATGATGGTGACTTTATTTTGAAAGGTGAAAGGAGATAAAGAAAAGTTGTTAGTGGTAAACACATCTTTAAAGTAGATTTGATGGGCCTTTCTAATGGAATAGATGGAAATAATGAAGAAAAACACTTCAACTTTTGCTTTATGAGATAGAGTGAATGAATAGTGGTGCCAAATAGTATGACGAAAAAAACTTGTTTGGTGAATAAGACAATCAATAAGTGTTGTCTTGAACTTGTTAAATCTAAGACATTGTTGGCACTTTTTTTTTTCCCTCACTCTGTCACCCAGGCTGGAGTGCAGTGGCACGATCTCGGCTCACTGCAACCTCTGCCTACTGGGTTCTAGCAATTCTCCTGCCTCAGCCTCCCGAGTCGCTGGGATTACAGGCACACACCGACACGCCCGGCTAATTTTTTGTATTTTAGTAGAGATGGGGTTTCACCATATTGCCCAGGCTAGTCTCAAACTCCTGAGCTCAGGCAATCCACCCACCTTGGCCTCCCAAAGTGCTAGGATTACAGGCATGAGCAACTGAGCCCGGCCTATTGGCACTTTTAAGTGGATATGTCAATAAATCAATTGTAAACATGAATCTGAATCTTAGGAGAGAGGTATAAACTATATACATGTGGGTCAAAATTAGATCAGGTATGGAGTTAATATAAACAGAGATTTTAAGATTTTCCAGATCAAATCTTAAGGCACTTCAACAAAGTAGACTGAAAAGGAGCAGAGTTGAAGACAAAAATAAGGACTGTCATTATTCGTTACTGTAAATCATAAAGAATAATCTTAGAATATGCTTAATAAAAATACTAAATATGGTCTTTTTTATCAAAAAACATCTGCTATCCCTTGGGGCTATCAAAGCACATGTCCATATGAAGCTACCACAATGTTTTCAGAAAATTGTGTATTCTGAAAATGTCTATTCACTGGCACTGAAAAAAAGTTTTCAGAGTTGACTGATAATACTTCCAGAAAAAATAAATGCTACAGATTCTGAATACTTCATGAAGCTATGGGGTTTTTCCAACCTTGAAACTAATTTCAATTCATTTTGAGAGCTATGAGAGAAAGTTACAAGAGCTGTTACTGAGCAAAGGCCAATTTAGTGAGGAAAGCATCAATAACTTGTCATATTTCCTCTGCCTTTTTTAAGTGCAGAGTCAAATATTCTGCCTTGCTGAGGGCTTAATAAAAAACAAACACAATACACAAAGTTTTAATTTAGGCAAAATATAATTATTTATACTATTGTACAACAAAATTATTAGTACTTAGTGACAAACCATTATTTCATTTTTATAAGATAAAAAGACAAATTCAAAATGATGAATTATACCAAATAGTAGGTACTTAACAGCAATAGAGAGAGAGAGACAGCAAGGGTGAGGGTCTCACTTTGTCACCCAGAATGGAGTGCAGCAGCCCAATCATGGCTCACTCAATCTTCAACCTCTCAGGCTCAAGCATTTCTCCAACCGCAGCCTCTTGAGTAGCTGGGACTACAGGTGGGTGCCACCATGTCTGGCTAATTTTTTTTTTTTTTTTTTTTTTTTTTGAAGAAACAGAATCTCACTATGTTGCCTAGGCTGGTCTCAAATTCCTGGGAGCAAGCAGTCCTCCTACCTTGGCCTCCCGAATGTACTGGGATTGCAGGCATGAACCACCTTATCCAGCTATAATATGTTTTTATAAGGCAAAGTAACTCCATATATTAGACCAAGGTGCATCATCCTGAAAATAACATAAATGTCCTGAATTGAAGGGAACAGAGGATATTCATTTAACAAATAACATGGCTGTCTAGGCACTGGAGACACTATCCTAAACAACAGAGATAGAATCATAGTTCTTATTGATTTCACTTTCATTAGTAAACGGAAAATAAGTGAACAAGTAAACGGTAGTTTAAGATAATGATAATGACCTTGATGAAAATAGAGAAACAATAGTGATTGGGGTGAAGGATAGCTCTACCAACAGGGTGTGTATGGAAACTGTGGCCAATGTGCATCCCCTCCTACTTTCAATGGAGAACTTGTGGCTTGTGCTCATTCACTTATAGTTGCCAGTCACAACTCCTTGTATTGTAGCTGTTGACAATAGAAGGAAAAAAAGTAACCTACCCCATCCCACACCTGCATGATCTCCCTTTCAGACCATATATGTATGAATTCTGTAAGGCCAAAGCATTTCCCTTCCTCAAATGACTATTGGGACTAAATTCGTATATGCCTCACACCCTTCATTTCTACCTCAGCTTCTATGTGTAGTCTTTGTGAATCACATGTCATTGTGGAAATTGCATTATGCATATATAAGCATTTTAAGCTATCCCTAGCTCTATTCTCATCCCCATTATTCTCAATATGTCTGTTCCCTGACCTGCCATCACACTCCCTTCTCCTTTCCCTCTATAACAATTCCACTGGATTCTGAAACTCTTTCTATAAAACTAGTAAATCCCCACAACCCTACAAGCTTCCCCAAACGTTCGCTTTGCTAAAAAAGAAAAAAAAAAATGGATGACGACTGAGAAAACTTCTACAGCTCTCTCAAGTAGAGCCTATTTATTCTTCATCATTCTAGAAAATAATACAAATAATAGCTAACATTTACTGTACAATTTCTATGTTCAAGCACTATACCAGTGATATATACAAACTTATTTCATAAATAAATTTTATGAATTTAATTCATTAAATTATCACTACAATGCGATGGATTAGGTCATTTCATCCACATTTTACAGCTGTGACACTGAGACAAAGAGACATTAGGTAACTTTCTCAAGTCACAGAAGTAAAGAGAGATGAAATTAACAATGGAATCCAGGCAGTCTGAATCCAGAACTGATATTCTTAGGCAATATCTTCATCTTAGGTAGCTCGTGGGTTAGAAATAGGACTAGAGTTCTCATTGCTGCCCAACTCTACAAAAGCTCTTCCAGCTTCTTAAACTATTCATTTCCCTTTTTGTTGTCATCTATAAAACTAGCCAATTTATCTCATTTACTGCAAATTTTGGTATCCCAACTCAGGGTATTTCTCTCCTTTTCTATTCTTGCTATCATTTTAGGAACTTCAATGTCCTCATAGACAATGTATCCAATATCATATTTTAATGGTTCTATGACTTCCTCATCATTAATGCTATATTACATCATCTTTGCTGATCTCTTATAACTTATCACTGAAAAAAAAATTCCACTTCCAAAGTTACAAACATTCCCCTCTTATGAAAACTTCCATTTACTGCTCAAGAGCCCATTTGTTCTTCAATCTCTTTAGGCTGTAGCTCCATTGACGTCTGTGCTTTCTTTCAAAATATCAGACTCCTTGTACTTTTAATTAATCCACAGTATTTAATTTCAATCATTTTGTTAATAATACACTAACCTTCCTTGTCAATTTGTTCTTTCTAATCTAAGCCTCCATCTAGAATCCAACAATCTCTGTGGTCGGTGCCCACCTATGCTTAGACAGCTGAACACTCCTAAATGGATTGACATTTCTATAAATTTAATGAACAACCTCACCTATACCCATCTTAATATAATTCTCTAATCATTGTTATCAACTTCTATGTAGAGTGTTTCAAAATTCCTCCATTCTTATATGTCATGATATCCTCTCTATGCCCTTTACTCTCAACAGATGATTGTATTATACTTAACTAAAATGATTAGAGCAATCAGACAGGAATTCTTTAAACATTATGCTGCCAAATTTGATAGTCACATCTGTACCAAACTTTTCCTCCTGCCCTGCTGACACAAATATACACATATTTCCATATATATGTGTTTTTGGTTTTTTTTTTTTGAGATGGAGTCTTGCTCTGTCGCCCAGGCTGCAGTGCACTGAACTGAACTCAGCTCACTGCAACCTCCACCTCCCAGGTACAAGTTATTCTCCTGCCTCAGCCTCCCGAGTAGCTGGTATTGCAGGCACCTGCCACCATGCCCAGCTAATTTTTGTATTTTTTAGTAGAGACGGGGTTTCACCATATTGGCCAACTAGTCTCGAACTCCTGATCTCAGGTAATCCACCTGCCTCTGCCTCTCAAAGTGCTGGGATTACAGGCATGAGCCACTTCACCCAGCCATCTCTCTTCCTTTTGAAGGCTAACTCTTCTATGTGTAATCTGAGTCCAAGCCCCTCCCACATTCTCCAGAATCTATGCCAACATTTAATTCTTTTGCTGTCAAAGAGTATTTCTTTTTTTGTTTTACTGTGACCCACAACAAAAAAAAATATATTATTGCTGCAACCTAATATATACATATTACACATGTATATTACATATGTATCATATATAAGTATCATGTATATAACATATAAAATGCACTTCTGTTTGCAGTCAAAAATTTATATAAATAACCAAAACAAAGATCCATAATATAACATTACCTTACTATGCATGATACCATGATACGCTGATGTTTTCTGGTTTTTTTTTTTTTTTTTTGAATGGACACCACTCGTTAAATTAATGTTACAACAAACAAATAAGTTAGGACCTGTAGTTGGAACCACAGTGGGCTAGTATATTCCTCCCTAACTTTATCTTTGAATTTTTTCATCTAAAAAATTAAAAATAAAAGACAACTCATACTTCCAAGTGCTCCTTCAGCTCATAACCTCTGCACATTTAGACATATCAGAATAGTTATTTAAATTAAGTCTCCACTTTTTTTGTCCCATTAACTATTTAGAACAATCTAATCTGTCTTTGGCCAAACTACTCCATGAAAACCACTTTCCTCAAGTTTCAGTGAGTTACTTATATGTAAATTCAGTGGACTTGTTTCAGCCTTCATTGTAATTAATATTTCAGCAGCAGCATTTGACAGAATTGATCACTGCCTCCTTCTTGAAACATTATTTTTGCTTCACTTCCATGACACTACATTTCATCAATTTCCCTCCCTTTTCTCTGCCTACCCCTTTTCAGCCTCTTTTTGCTGGTTCCTATGCCATCAGACTTTAAATCATTGAAGACCACATACTTATCTCACCCTTCTCTCTCAGCATCTTCTCACGCTTCCTTTATGCATTGCTGTAGCTCTCTCTCTCTCATTGTTGGAATTACCAGCTGGTTTCAGGAGAAAAGTAAGATGTCTCTTTATAGGCTAGAGGCCTTTTGGATATTAGATATGTAATGAAGTTACCTTCCCCTGGAGAATATAGAAATGTTTTCAATAACCCATAATTCAAATCTTCTTTTGAATCATTTCCAGGTATACACAGTTACTTAACAGAGAAATACTGCTTTTTATACTATAGCCCATGTTCATGACCCTGACCACTTTAGCACATTAGAATTGACTGTATAGTTTTTGGCATATCAAATAATATCAAGATTTCATTTACATTTTCTATTTATTTAAATTGAAACTTTCCTTTTCTCCTTATAAGACTTATGCATCCCTGGTAGTTAACAGTTTCTATTAGAAGTTAGCTGGAAGCCTTTGAAACTTACATGCTCAGCATCTGAGGGATAGATTTTCATGATATAGGAGTCATCACATAAAACTTTCCTAGTTTTGAAAATTCTGTGATCTGTTCCAAGAGATTTGGCAATTTCTTCTCTTTAATTGCATCGCCTGGAGTGTGACCAGAAATTCTTTTGTAAATGTCTCAATAACAAAATAAAACTCAGCTTTATCTTTTTGTGTCTTTTTCTCTAAGTACAAAAATTACTTGGTTCATGGTATAAAAATATGGATATAATGTTCCATTAACAAATATTTGCTCTACTCATAATAAATTTTCATTTTGCAAATCTATATTATGCTCTTCTGCACTCAATACTTTTCATTTTAATGTTGCATTCCAATGTAATAGTTTGTATGAATTTGGTGCTGCAATTATGATTCCAAATTAAATTAAAATTCAATCTTCTCTTTGGTTACCAATTTGCAAATAATCTAGCTAAGTTGACAATTAGATAAATATGCAGGTACCCATTGTTAAGACTGCAGGCAATGGGAACCACAAGGCTACTCACTGCTTTACCAAAGTTTTGGCAATGAGACTGCAATGTTAATGTAGATTAAACAATGTACTTTAATTTCACAATGTTAAAATTTGAGGACAAGGCATTTTTGAATCAAATAAAAGTGGTAGTAGGCACTCATTAAAACTGGCCAACTAAATTTAAAAAATTGCAAAGAATCAATAAACATTTTAGAACAATTGCTTGCTTAAGCTATGTAACATAAAATACATTTATTACATATTTTCAGTTTATACACATATCTAATTAAAATTTTGATATATAACTTAAGGCAGAAAACATATATTAATAAATGTTCATGTTTTATTAAAACACATTCCATTTTTCCTCTCATTTTATCATTCTGATCATTTCTACTGCCTCCAGAAATGACTTTTAGTTTTAAAACTACTGAAAGAAGCCACTCATTTAAGGAGTCAACTCTATGTCATTTTGTCCATGAGAATTATAACCAAACACATCATATACTTTCAGTATTACAGTAACAGTGAAAGAGACACAAAAATCAATAAGACCATATAATTTTATTAGGGTTATTAAGATATTAATTTATAAGCACTTAGATTCTATAGCATTAGTTGTTGTGGAGACAAACAATTGCTGAATTATGATATGCTGTGAATTAAGTGACTTCGACTTAGAGAAACAAAAAGCCTGCCTTACAAAAGCTCCTGAAGTAAGCATGAAATATGGAAAGGAAAAACCAGTAACAGCCACTGCAAAAACAAACCAAATTGTAAAGACCATTGAACTATGAAGAAACTGCATCAACTAATGGGCAAAATAACCAGCTAGCATCATAATGGCATAATAATATTAACATTAAATATAAATGGGCTAAATGCCCCAATTAAAAGACACAGACTGGCAAATTGGATAAAGAGTCAAGACCCATCAGTGTGCTGTATTCAGGAGACACATCTCACGTGCAAAGACACACATAGGCTCAAAATAAAGGGATGGAGGAAGATCTACCAAGCAAATGGAAAACTAAAAAACGCAGGGGTTGCAATCCTAGTGCATGATAAAACAGACTTTAAACCAACAAAGATCAAAAGAGACAAAGAAGGGCATTACATAATGGTAGAGGGATCAATGCAACAAGAAGAGCTAACTATCCTAAATATATATGCAACTAACACAGGAGCACCCAGATTCATAAAGCAAGTTCTTAGAGACCTACAAAGAGACTTAGACACCCACACAATAATAGTGGGAGACTTTAACACCCCACTGTCAATATCAGACAGATCAACAAGACAGAAAATTAACACGGATATTCAGGACTTGAACTCAGCTCTGGTCCAAGTAGACCTAATAGACATCTACAGAACCCTCCACCCCAAATCAACAGAATATACACTCTTCTCAGCACCTCATAGCACTAATTCTAAAAGTGACCACATAATTAGAAGCAAAACACTCCTCAGCAAATGCAAAAGAACAGAAATCATAACAAGCAGTCTCTCAGACAACAGTGCAATCAAACTAGAACTCAGGATTAAGAAACCCACTCAAAACTCCACACCTACATGGATACTGACAACCTGCTCCTCAATGACTACTAGGTAAATAATGAAATTAAGGCACAAATCATTAAGTTATTTAAAACCAATGAGAACAAAGACATAACATACCAGAATCTCTGGGACACAGCTAAAGCAGTATTTAGAGGGCAATTTATAGCAGTAAATGCCCACAGGAGAAAGCAGGAAAGATCTAAAATCGACACCCTAACATCATAATTAAAAGAACTAGAGAAACAATAGCAAACAAATTCAAAAGCTAGCAGAAGACAAGAAATAACTAAGATCAGAGCAGAACTGAAGGAGATAGAGATATAAAAAACCCTTCAAAAAATCAATGAATCCAGGAGCTGGTTTTTTGAAAAGATTAACAAAACAGATAGACCAATAGCCGCATTAATGAAGAAAAGAAAGAAGAATCAACTAGACACAATAAAAAATGGTAAAGGGGATATCACCACTGATCCCAAAGAAATACAAACTACCATCAGAAAATACTATAAACAATTCTATACAAATAAACCAGAAAACCTGGAAGAAATAGATAAATTCCTGGAAAAATACACCCTCCCAAGACTGAAACAGGAAGAAGTCAAATCCTTGAATAGACCAATAACAAGTTCTGAAATCGAGGCAGTAATTAATAACCTACCCACCAAAAAAAGGCCAAGACCAGACAGATTCATAGCCAAACTATAACAGAGGTACAAGCGGGTACCATTCCTTCTGAAACTCTTCCAAACAATAGAAAAAGAGGGACTCCTCGCTAACTCATTTTATGAGGCCAGAATCACCCTTATACCAAAACCTGGCAGCAACACAACAAAAACAGAAAATTTCAGGCCAATATCCCTGATGAACATTGATGCAAAAATTCTCAATAAAATACTAGCAAACTGAGTCCAGCGGCACATTAAAAAGCTTATCCATCACGATCAAGTCAGCTTCATCCTTGGGATGCAAGGCTGCTTCAACATACCCAAATCAATAAGCATAATCCATCACATAAACAGAACCAATGAAAAAAACCACCTGATTCTTTCAATAGATGCAGAAAAGTCCTTCGAAAAAGTCAACACTCCTTCATGCTAAAAACACTCAATAAACCAGGTATTGATGGAACATATCTCAAAATAATAAGAGTTATTTATGACAAACCCACAGCCAATATCATACTGAATGGGCAAAAGCTGGAAGCATTCCCTTTGAAAACCGGCACAAGACAAGGACATCCTCTCTCAGTACTCCTATTCAACATAGTATTGGAAGTTCTGGCCAGGAAATCAGGCAACAGAAAGAAATAAAGTGTATTCAAATAGGAAGAGAAGAGGTCAAATTGACTCTGTCTGCAGATGACATGATTTTATATTTTGAAAACCTCATCGTCTCAGCCCAAAATCTCGTTAAGCTGATAAGCAAGTTCAGCAAAGTCTCAGGATACAAAATCAATGTGCAAAAATCAAAAGCATTACTATGCACTGATAATAGACAAACAGAGCCAAATCTTGAGCAAATTCCCACTCACAATTGCTACAAAGAGAATAAAATACCTAGGAATAAAATTTATAAGGGATGTGACAGACCTCTTCAAGGAGAACTACAAACCACTGCTCAAGGAAAAAAGAGAGAAGACAAACAAATGAGAAAACATTCCATGCTCATGGATAGGAAGAGTCAATATCGTGAAAATGGCCATACTGCCCAAAGTAATTTGTAGATTCAGTGCTATTCCCATCAAGCTACCATTGACTTTCTTCACAGAATTAGAAAAAAAAAACAAACTTTAAATTTCACACGGAATCAAAAAAGAGCCCATAGAGCCAAGACAATCCTCAGCAAAAAGAACATAGATGGAGGCATCATGCTACCTGACTTCAAACTATACCACAAGGCTACAGTAACCAAAACAGCATGGTACTGGTACCAAAACAGAGATATAGACCAATGGAACAGAACAGAGCCCTCAGAAATAACACCACACATCTGCAACCATCTGATCTTTGACAAACCTGACACAAACAAGCACTGGGTAAAGGACTTCCTATTTAATAAATGCTGTTGGGAAACCCTGCTAGCCATATGCAGAAAACTGAAACTAGACCCCTTCCTTACACCTTTTAAAAAAATTATCTCAAGATGGATTAAAGAATTAAACATAAGACCTCAAACCATAAAAACCCTAGAAGAAAACCTAGGCAATACCATTCAGGACATAGGCATGGTCAAAGACTTCATGACTAAAACACCAAAAGCCATGGCAACGAAAGTCAAAATTGACAAATGGGATCTAATTAAACTAAAGAACTTCTGCACAGCAAAAGAAACTACCATCAGAGTGAGCAGGAAACCTACAGAATGGGAGAAAATTTTTGCAACCTATCCATCTGACAAAGTCTAATATCCAGAATCAATAAGGAACTTAAACAAGTTTACAAGAAAAAAACAACCCCAACAAAAAGTGGGCAAAGGATATGAACAGACACTTTTCAAAAGAAGACATTTATGCGGCCAACAAACATATGAAAAAAAGCACATCATCACTGGTCATTAGAGAAATGCAAATCAAAACCACAAGGAGATACCATCTCAAGCCAGTTAGAATGGCAATCATTAAAAAGTCAGGCAACAACAGATGCTGGAGAGGATGTGGAGAAGTAGGAATGCTTTTACACTATTGGTGGGAGTATAAATTAGCTCAACCATTGTGGGAGACGGTGTGGTAATTCCTCAAGGATCTAGAACTAGAAATACCATTTGACCCAGCAATCCCATTACTGGGTATATGCCCAAAGGATTATAAATCATTCTACTATAAAGACACACACACACATATGTTTACTGCAGCACTATTCACAATAGCAAAGACATGAAACCAACCCAAATGCCCATCAACGTTAGACTGGATAAAAAAAATGTGTATACATCATGGAATACTATGCAACCATTAAAAAGAATGAGTTCATGTCCTTTGCAGGGACATGGATGAAGCTGTAAACCATCATTCTCAGCAAACTAACACAGGAAAAGAAAACCAAACACTGCGTGTTCTCACTCATAAGTGGCAGTTTAACAATAAGAACATATGGGCACAGGGAAGGGAACATCACACACTTGGGCCTGTTCAGGGGTGGGGGACAATCAGAGGGATATGTGTAGAGAAATACCTAATGTAGATGACAGGCTGATGGATGCAGCAAACCACCATGGCACATGTATACCTATATAACAAACCTGCACGTTCTGCACATGTATCCCAGAACTTAAAGTATAATAAAAATAAATAAATTAATTAAATTTGTTAAAGCCTAAATTATTGAGCCATGAATGACAAAGGGGTTACTTGGACTTATTTAGAAAATTTATATTCAATAAGTAACATACATCTACTGAAAAACTTTTTCACATCAAATTTACGTCCCATTAATTATTATTGAAGTTACTGGGAGAAAAAAAATCACTCATTCCTGACTGGATTAATTCAGAAATGTTGGAAGTATCAACAACTAAAATTGCCTTACATATAGAAACATCCTTTAGAATACATCATTATAATCCAAATAATTTCCAAGTCTTGTAGGCTTATTTGATCATAATACATTATTTTCTTGACTCTTTTTGTGTGTCTACATGACCAGTCAGGAAATAAAATCTCCACATTAAATGCAACTCTCTTTCCAGTCCAGTCTAGGGCAGTTATTCAGAAAGTCTCCCAAAATAAAGTTGAAGATGTTTAAGTAGAAGAGGCTTTTCCTAAATATGTCATCAAATGTGAGCATTATAATGGCAAATAATTTCTTCAATTATATAATGACCAAAAATGGTTGTGTTAATGTACTAATTGTTTGGCAAATGGGTTTAATAAAATGGTAAAAATGGAACTTGTAAAATAATATGACTTAAAGCTTGACCCTGAACAACGAACCTGATATTATCTCCTTCTAGAAGAAACAATACTAAGTTTTAAAGGCATGGGCTACTGAATCACATTGACTAGTTTAAATGGTACCACTTGTTATTTGTGCAATCTTGGGCAAGTTATCTAAATTCTCTGTGATTTTGTAACTTCTATAAAAAAGGAAAAATAACAGTACCTGTCTTACAAAGTTTTGTATATGATTACATGATTTAACATATGTAAAGAACCTAGAATAAAAACTGAACAATGGTAAGAATCTGATAAGTGTTAACTACTGATATTACCAATTTAGTGTGAATATCTTGTTTCCTAACCTAGATAATAAACTATTCCAGGGCAAGGACCAATTATTACATTTATTCTTACTTCGGATATTAGCATGTAGTAGGTATCCAATGAAAATTGTTAAATAATATAAAAATGCACTAAGTTATATCTTATAACAACATCGTAGCATTAGCTAAAATTCAGATCTGATAAAGATTCCATGTGAACCTTTCAGAATAAAATAATAATACCAAAGCAAATATCTGTAGGTAAATTACAGATTCTCATTTTATCAAAAGCCCAGACATATACTTTTACATGCATTATTTTCACAAAATACTGTACTGTCAGCTTTTGAAGGGAAAGATTCAAAATCTCCATCTCCTGTATGGTGTTTCATGATTATATTTACAGGGTTATTATTAAGATATATTTTAAATTTTATATCTTAATTTATAAGGTAAAATATTTAAGTATATACTGGGCCATCTGAAAATCATCCTAAACCTGTGAGCTACTTCATAAATTCAGCACCCAGTTTCTGTTCATGATAATCATATTAAAATTAAGAGGTTGTCAGAGGCTAATAAGAAAATAAACATTTATATATAACTAATGAATTTCTTCCAAGTGAAGACTAAATTTCATTATCAATGTTAAATGAACAAGGCATTAAAGTATTTCAAAAAGAAAAAAGTTATCACACAGTCATGTGAAATTATAAGTAGTCGTTGCTTTAAAGGAACGAGTATCACATACTAAATCTATTTGATAACAACAGGATAATTACAGCCAACAATTTATTGTACACTTTAAAATAAATAAAAGAGTATAATTGGAATGTTTGTAACACAACGAAATAATAAATGCTTGAGGTGATGGATACCCCATTTACCCTGATGTGGTTATTAAAAATTGAATGACGTTATCAAAATATCTAATGTACCCCATAAATATATACACTTACTCTGTACCCATAAAGATTTTTTAAAAATTAAAAATAAAAAGGCCGGGCATGGTGGCTCACACCTGTAATCCCAGCACTTTGGGTGGCCGAGGGGGGTGGATCACCTGAGATCAGGAGTTCAAGACCAGCCTGGCCAACATGGCAAAACCCCATCTCTACTAAAAATACAAAAATTAGCTGGGTGTGGTGGTGCGCACCAGTAATCTCAGCTACTTGGGAGGCTGAGGCAGGAGAATCACCTGAACTCAGGAGGAGGAGTTTGCAGTGAGCCAAGATCACACCACTGCACTCCAGCCTGGGCAACAGAGCAAGACTCCATCTCAAAATAAAATCAGTTAACAAATAAATCTATCATTTCATCTTGAGGAAAGTAATGTATTTTTAACAAGATATTCATTAAATCAAATTAACACTATTATTGTTAATTTTATTTGTATTGTATTTTGGTTATATAAATATATATGAGCTGTAAACTAAAGAAATACCTATTTCTATGTTTCAACATAGTAAACATAATTTAAATAACTATTATGGATATAAAAGAGTGTTTCCCTTTGGTTCCATACATTAGGTGAGAAATAGTGACTAAGATGATAGCAATGCCTTTAGCATATTAAACATTATATACAATATTTAGAAAATACTGAATATTCAATCATCTCAAAAATGAGATTTTATGTCAATTTTGACTTGTTTCTTTAAACGAGTGGTTGGCATACTGCAGCCTAAATGAAATACAAACTATGATATGTTTTTGTAACTAAAATATAAATGGAATACAGCCACACTCTTCATGAATTGTCTATGACAGCTTTTTCATGATAACAACAGAATTGAACAGTTGTGACAGTGACCACAAAGCCAAAAATATGTACTATCTGAACCTCTGTTTTGGGTATGTAGTTGGTCAGACATAAGCAGCACATGAGAGGGTCCCCCACCCCACTAGGAATGTCAGGCAACTATCAGGTGATGATCAGGTGGTGTTAGCTGTCTCTCTAAAATAATAATTGGTTGCAGTCAGCACCAGGGAAAGGCAGTCTCCCAACAGACAGAACAAAACCTGAAACTGGTGATCAGCAGCCTCCTGATAAGATCTGAGGAGTTGGGCAAATGGGTTCAAGCATGTGCACTAAAAGGCAAAGTGGCATAGTTTAACTGGTTTATGACCTTCCTCCAGGAACCCTTGACTGGTAAGAGGAAAAGGCCTCAAGTGAGCAAGGGTACAACTTCAGTAAACACACTGCACATATGGCCCCTCCCAAGTGCTGGCAAGCCACTATGCGTGTGGACAGCCCAGTAAAAGGGAAGTATTGGGGGAGAAGACCTGCAACCCTCTGTAACCCTGCCAATGTATAAAACCCCAAGTCAAAGGTCAAACACACACTTGAACCTCTCAAGTGACCTACTTGGCCCTCTTCCAAGTGTACTTTATTTCCTTTCATTTCTCCTCTAAAAACTTTTAATAAACTTTCACTCCTGCTTTAAAACTTGCCTTGGTCTCTCACTGTGCTTTATGCCTCGGTTGAATTCTTTCTTCTGAGGAGGCAAGAACTGAGGTTGCTGCAGACCCATACAGATTTGCCACTGTTGACATACTTTGGTGCCATGTAACTCAGATATGTTCCCTAGTGGTAAGACATCTCTATGCCTCGCCTGCTTCTGCTGGAGGCGTTCAACCCCCAAATGCAGTTTCCTTCTCCCATTTTACTGTCCTTCTTACTAACCAACCCCAAAAAACATTCCTCTCAGCCAAAGTGGCTCTGTTCTCCCTGGCTGATCTCTCAGCTCACCCTGATGGATGGCTCATGGGGCTGGGAAGGACCTTGGAGTCCACACCAAGTAGACCTGAGACATTAATTGAGGAGGCTTACAAGAGTGGTAAGGCTAATGCCTAACACTGTGCAATGTCTGAGGTTTCCTCTGCTTTTTCAACTAAAGTCAGCTCTTTCCCAAAACCCGCACTCATTTAGTGACAACCTTCATAGAACTAGGAGACTTGGAAGATGTTTTGAAAACATTGTTACAAAGGCACTACTAAAACGATTCAGAGGATGAGTAACCAGTTGGAAGAAAGGATCCTAGGGACGTGACATTGTTTTGTTGTTGTTGTTGTTGCTGTGTGTTTGTTTTTCGAGACAGAGTCTCACTCTTGTCACCCAGGCTGCAGTGTGGTAGCATGATCTCAGCTCACCACAACCTCTGCCTCCCAGATTCAAGTGATTCTCCTGCCTCAGCCTCCCAAGTAGCTGGGACTGCAAGTGCATGCCACCGCACCTGACTAATTTTTGTATTTTTAGTAGAGACAGGGTTTCACTTTCACCATACTGGCCAGGGTGGTCTCAATCTCCTGACCTCAAATGATCTGCCTGCCTCAGCCTCTCAAAGTGCTGGGATTACAGGCATGAGCCACCACGCCTGGCCATGATGCTGGTTTTCAACAATATGCTTAGAGAACTCCTGACGTGGAGATCAAGTGTCAACTCAATGAATACAATGTTTTCATTGAATTTATTTTTTGAAATTTATGTGGTGATAGTGTGGCTTTCTGAAATGGGCAAATATTCAAAAGATCTTTTGCATTTTCTGCTGCCAGGTATTGGGGAGAGGAAGCAGGGGAACAATCTAAGGAAGGACACATGTGCTACGCTAGGCATCACTGTCAAGTTTCTGGGAAGGAATGGGAAAGGATAAATGGGTTTGCTTGGCACTGTCCTGTGCTGCTTGAGAGGACATGGGAGATGTGAGGGAAATGTGGGTGATGGGGTGCCCAAGCCACGGCCCCTCATTTCTATGCTGGGTTCCCACATCCTGTCATGTTTCCCTTAGCAATGTAAATGAAGATGGAGGGGCTAATTCATTATTTCCTGCTGCTGAGAATAAATGTCTTGTTAAAAAAAATAAAAAGGAATTCTGTGTGTGAACATATTAGCTAAAATTAAAAGGGTATTACTCAGTTTATTTACAAATTGAACATTGGAATAAAAGCATAACAGAATTTTATTAAAGCACTAATCTGCTCTTTAACCAAAAATAAATTGTCAAAAAAAAAATATGAAAGGTTTATGAGAACCTTACCTTATGGTCAAACTGATTAAGATTGGATAGATTTGTCTGTAAGATTTTATTAAGAATTGGGTTTACCATCAATAGTACACTAATGCAAAGGTAAAATCTGGCTTCCTTTGGACTATATTTGTATAAATATGTTGTTGGTATGTGTTCCAAAATTGTGCAAAACTCCTGTAATTCTGATATGATTTAGTATACATTATCAGTAATAATTATAATTCTTATGTAAAATTATTGTGTGCCACAAAGGTAACCAAACTTCCTTATCTATTGTGTTTTTTACTGTGGCTACCCTAAGACTTTTTGTCATCTATTGTCTTGTTTTCATCCTCTTTAAAAGGTGGTTTTATAATCAGCTATAGTACTCTAACAGGTGCTTTTGAATGCAGGTTTCATATAACTTTGGAGACTGTGACATTAAAATGGAGAGAAAATTCCAAGACTCTCTTGGAAAACTAATGTGTTCATAAATATCAAGCAAAACAGGAATTAATTATATAGACTAACCTAATCAAAGACCAAAGTAATCTTTTTTGACTTTTTGCTTAAAATTTTGCTGATCCTTTGTTTTTCAGAGTCAAGAAAACTTTTATTTTGAGATATGTACAGCTTTTAAAAATTGTGTAAGGTACATTCCTTTAGGCAAAATTTGGAGCATATTTCTCTCTACCAGATTTCTCCAAAGTTTGGAAACTGTGAGTATTCTTAACTCATGGCAATATAGTTATTGGCATATGTGCAATAAGAAACTGTTTTCTTTTAAAACAGGACATAATTGCAGAAACTAGTTATTTTACCAAGGCTTTAACTGGGATGGTGTGCTTTCTTTTAAGGCAGGGGTGCCCAATCACTGGTCCATGGACCAGTACCAGTCCATGGCCTGTTAGGAACTGGGCTGCACAGCAGGATATGAGTGGTGGGCAAGCAAGCAAAACTTCATCTGTATTTACAGCCACCCCCCATCAGTCACATTCTCATCTGAGCTCTGCCTCTTGTCAGATCAGTGGCAGCATTAGATTCTCACAGGAGCGCAAACCGTATTGTGAGCTCTGCATGCAAGGGATCTAGGTTGCGCATCCTTTATGAGAATCTAATGCCTGGTGATCTCTCACTGTCTCCCATAACCCCCAGATGGGGGAGTTATGGAAAAACAAGCTCAAGTATCCCACTGATTCTACATTATGGTGAGCTATATAATTATTTCATTATATATTATAATCTAATAATAATACAAAGTATACAATAAACGTAATGCGCTTGAATTATCCCAAAACCATCCCCCTCAACCTGGCCCGTGGAAAAATTGTCTTCCATGAAACTGGTCCTTGGTGCCAAAAAAGTTGAGGACCACTGCTTTAAGGAATCAAAATTGACCTATAGAGTCAATAAAATCTCCTCTGGAAAATTGCCCTCATACCTTGTCTACACAGCCCCTGTGCAGGGTTCCTGACTTTTAGTAACTAAAAAAGTCACTTTCTGACAGGCTCAGGGGCCCCAAGTTATCTTGGGAACTCAAAAGGAGAGGAATTTGCCTATTTGCCTAACTCCCACAGGTATTCAATAATACACACCTATGGGTGCACTTAAGGCTATAAGAAGTCTTATCTGAGATGTCTTATGAAACAAAGTTTCATCAAAGCCAATTTTCAAAGGAGCCTATGTAGCAAATAATTGTTCTTGTGCTTTATGCAAATAATCAGGCCAAGTATAATAAGACTAAAGCTTATTTTGCAAATCAGTCCTATCATATTGTTTTTGATAAAAATGAGGACTAGAGAATAAATAATTAGGTTTCAAGAACTATGGTACACCTATTATTAAATTCTAGTCTCATCAGTTGTTTTTAAGTTTTTGTCTGCAATTTAGAATGACTGTGCTTATTCCTCTTATATAGGTGATCTCTGGCTACAGCTCAAAATAAACAAGAGGACTGGGCCACTAAGCTCCAGATGATTCTCAGTGAGGGATATCATCCTCTCAATATTCAAGAGTTAACCCTCTATAGAAGGCCACTAGACTTCCCATCAGAGAGACAAAATAGATCCACAAAACAACCATCACTCCAACTCTGTCAGCAGGAAGTTACAGAAGAATAACTCTCACTCATTTTCCCCACAGAATTGGGGTCCTGGACTCTTGAGGGGGAAATGTTAGAGGTAGTTAGTCAGACATGAGCATGGCAAGAAAGGATCCTCCACCCCACCAGGAATGTCAGGCAATCATCAGATGATAGGTGGTAGTTAAACTATCTCTCTGAAATAATAATTGGTTGCAGTTAGCACGGGGAAAGGCATTCTCCTGATAGATTTAAAAAATAAAACAAAACCTGAAACTGGTGATCAGCAGCTTCCTGATAAGAACTCAGGATTTGAGCAAGTGGGCTCAAGCGTGTGCACCAAGAAGCAAAATGGCAGAGTTTAACTGGTTTATGACCTTCCTCTAGGGACACTGGTAAGAGCAAAAGGCCTCAAATGAGCATGCATGCAATTTCAGTAAACACACTGAACATGTGGCCCCTCCCAAGTGCTGGCAGGCCACTATGCGTATGGACAGCCCACTAAAAGGGAAGTATTGGGGGAGAAAACCTGCAACCCTCTGGAAGCCTGCCAATGTATAAAACCCCAAGTCAAATCGTTCACTTAAATATCTCAAGTCACCCCCTTGGCCCTCTTCCAATTATACTTTACTTCCTTTCATTTCTGCTCTAAAACTTTTTAATATACTTTCACTCCTATTAAGAACACTGGCAAGGATGCAGAGACACTGGATCCTTTATATATTGCTATAGAAATGCAAAACAGAATAGTCATTGTGGATTTGTTTGGCAGGATTTTTTTTCCTCTTTTTTCTCCGCCCCCCCTTAGAGACAGGATCTCACTCTGTTTCTCAGGCTGGAGTGCAGTGATTCCATCATAGTTCACTGCAGCCTCAGCTTCCTGGACTTAAGCAATCCTCCTGAGTAGTTGGGACTACAGATGCACGCCACCTTGCCCAGCTAACATTTTTATTTTTATTTTTGTAGAGACAGGTCCTCGATATGTTGCCCAGGCTGGTTTCAGACTCCTGGCCTCATGTAATACTCCTGCCTCAGCCTCTCAAAGTGCCAGTATTAGAGGCATGAGGCACCATGCCCAGCCTCAGTTTGGCAATTTCTTATAAAACAAAATATACAATTACCATATGGCCTAGCAGTTGCAATCTTGGACATTTATCCCAAAGAAATAATATTTATGTTCATGCAAAATCTACAAATGTTCATATCAGCTTTATTTGTAATGGCTAAAAACTCAGATGTCTTTCAGTGAGTGAAAGGCTAAACACACAGTGGCACATTCATACCATGGAATACTATTCAGCAATACAAAGGAATGAAGTATTAATATATGCAACAAATTTGATATGCTTCCAGGAAATTATACTCAGTTTTTTTTAAAGCCCATCCTAAAAGGTGATATACTATATGATTCTATTCATATAACATTCCAAATGGTAAAATTATAAAGATGGAGAACTGATTAGCATTGTTAGAGGTTAAAGAAGTAAGGGTGCAGTGGAGAAAGATGGGTCTGGTTCTAAAATTGCAATAGGAATCCTAGTACTGATGAAACTATTTTATCTTGACTGTGAAGGTAGTTACATGAACCTACACATGTATTGAATAAAACTAAATACACATACACAAATGGATACATCTAAAACTGGGAAATCTGAATATGATGAGCGGATTGCATCAATGTCAATTTCTTTATTTTTTTTGTATAGTTTATAAGATGGTATCACATTGGGAGAAACCAGGTAAAGAGTGTATGTTAGTGTGATTATCATCATTACTATTATAGCTATTATTTTCCCAGCGGCATGTCAATCTTCAAATATCCCAAAATTAAAAGTTTAATCAATTTTTTAAAACTATCCTCCACAAAATAAAATTCACTCTCAAATATTGCTCCCCCTTCTTTTCTTTGAGCAAATTTTACTGAGAAATTTCAATGCATAATTTATTCAACATTTATGTGTTAGGTATTCACAGTATTAGATAACAACACTGTATAATTAATAATGTATTCAACATACATGTATTAGGTATTCAACATACATGTATTAGGTATTCACAGTATTAAATAATGACATTGTACTAGGCACTTAGGAATGAAAGTAAGACTAAACTATGGCTACAATAGGACACTTACTTAGAAGACAGTATTAACCAATTACACCTAAAAGTGCCCTCAAATTAATTATACAAATTACCACAAAATATATTACTATTCTGTTGTGTTAATTCTATATATCCCAGACACAATAGAACTGCCATATTTAAAAGGCTTTGGCCATTCATAATTAAGAAAATAATCTCTGGATTCAGAATGCCTAGGTTTCAATTAAGTCTTTGTAACTTACTATGATAAGTTTGGCAAGTTAATTGACTGTTTTATGTCTCATCTTGTGCTACAGTTTGGATGTTTGCCCCTGCAGATTTCATGTTAATATATTATTCTATTAATAGTGGAGTTGGAAGCCTAATGGGAGTTGTTTGAGACATAGGGGAGGATCCTTCATGAGTACATCAACGCACTCTCTTGTGGTAGGTGGGGGGATTTGAGTGAGTTCTCACTCTATTCGTTCCCTTGCGAGCTGGTTGTTTAAAAGAGCCTGGCACCTCCCTTCTCACTCTTTCTTATTTCCTCTCTTGCCATGTGATCTCTGCACACACTGGCTCCCCTTCATCTTCCATGAGTGGGAGCAGCAGGAGGCCAGAAGCAGATGCTGGCACCATGTTTTTTGTACAGCCTGCAGAACCTGAGCCAAATAAACCTCTTTTCTTTATAAATTACTCAGCCTCAGGTATTCCTCTATAGCAACATAAATAAACTAAGACACCTTCCTAACTTGAATAAAATTGAGATAATAAAGTACCCATCTCAGTTTTTGTGAGAATTTAATAAAAAGAGCCTGGAACAGAATAATAACTAAATTACCTTTGTTGTCTTACATAGTAATGAATGTAAAAGAACAGAATGATTTCATGTTCTTGGCTATTTTTAGCAATTAAAAAATATTTAGATGACTCAAGAGAATCATAAAAATGTACAAATGTGGACATTTTATGGGGTTTTGTTTTTAAAGTACCTTGTACTTCCATTTTTTAAGAAATATGATATAACAAATATCATAGAAATATATGTTGATTAAACTACTATTAACTTTTGAAGTTGCGGTTTACGTCATTATCTTTCAGGTATGTTTACTTATTTTCAATAACAAACTGAAATATTATGAAGCAGATATCAAAAGTTCAACCAGTGAAGTATTTATTACATGAGATATTCAAAATTACAATGCTACCAGTATTCATTTTAAAAAGATAGTAATTTTTTTACTTCTTTAACACATTCAAAAACATCTGGATTTTTTTATTTTAATGTTAGTAAATATTGAACTGGTCCTGTTAAAGTCTGATGCCATTTAAAGTGCTTAGCAGATGTTTTCTGCTTTCCCTCTTATTTTTTTTTCATTTTCATTATGTTAGCCCTTTTTCACACTTTTTATTTTACAAAATTATTTTCCCAGACAAGTAATATGTGTGAATAAAAATATGTAATAGAGACTGACAACACTTAAAACACTTTTTATTTTCAAAATTCTTTGAAAGTCCTCATTACACTTACTACTTAATAGACTAGTAAAGTGTGACTGTATTTTATGAAAAGAATCATGTTACTTGCACTATTCACATGGTTTTTAAATTTTACTTTCCAATGGCAAATACTATATAAAAGTTGCCATTTTATTTAAGTCACACAAAGTAGACATGGTAAAGGCCTATCAGGCTCCTAGTCAACTCAACCACTGTATGAAATCACTCCCAGGGGTATATTTTTAATGCTGTTTCCAGGCTGGTTTTGAATAACTGAAGTTTTCACACTTCCCATGGGAGGGTATTTCATAGCACGATTTTAGTATTAGAATATTTTCCCTGAAACTCTATTTATTTAAAATTTCCTTTTTTATATTATAATATAATATCTTTTCAGTTCTCTAAACACACTCCACATTTGTTTTTATGAATTCCTCATTTGGTTATCTCATGACCAACTGAGTACTTTATCATTAATATTTCATATAATATAATTTATATTAACAGCTAGTCAAAGAAATGGAGAGAGGCTAAGCATATATTATTCGGAATCACAGATGACTTACCAAATATATGATTTCTAAATGTCTATTAAAATGATATTTATTGAGCTGACAAATTTTGCAGGGTTTCAAAAAAGAAAAGGCACATTATAAATACATAATGAAATAAAACTGAATTGGAAAGATTGCCAGGACACAGAGGGATTAAAAGAATGAGGAGTAGGCCAGGCGTGGGTGGCTCACTCCTGTAATCCCAGCACTTTGGGAGGCCGAGGCAGGTGGATCACCTGAGGCCAAGAGTTAGAGACCAGTCTGGCCACCATGGCGAAACCCCTCTACTAAAAATACAAAAATTAGCCAGGCGTGGTGGCGGGCACCAGCAATCCCAACTACTCAGGAGGCTGAGGCAGGAGAATAGCTTGAACCCAGGAGGCGGAGGTTGCACTACACTGAGCCGAGATCGCACCACTGCACTCCAGCCTGGGTGACAGAGCGAGACTCTGTCTCAAAAACAGAAAAAGAAAAAGAAAAGAAAAAAGAGTAAGGAATAATTGGCTTATCTATACAAGAAACCAGCCTGGATATTGGCTCAATTTAAACTAACTGAAGGCAATTGCCCTGTATGTTTTTTCTAAGACTAGCTGAGAGATAAATATAAACATTCATTCTTTAAATTTTTGATGAATGTAACTAGTACAAATAAGCAGGAAAAAAATAACATTGTAAATAGATAAAATTTCATGTGTAACATCATAATATATAAAATCTGGTGCAAGTATATTGGATTTTGTAGAAATAATAATCACCAAAAAATATCTAATAGCAGCAGTTATAACTAATAATATTTTATAGAGACAAAACAATCAGCGTATCAAATCTCAGTTAAAAACTTTAAAAGAAAAAATATATTTTGATAAAAATTTCAGTAAAGTGAAATAGCAAAGTTGTGAATAGATAACTGTACAGAAATTGATCAATAGATTAAACTGACATGATGTTTATTACCCAAAATATTATTTTCTTCCAAATATTTTCTCAAAAATAAACAATTTTGTCATAATTCTGATTAAAATGCTTTAGACTTCTGAATAAAAAGCAAAATTACCTTAGGGTCAAAATCTGAAGTTAAGTGCCCATTACCTAAAACCAGTCAAGCCAAAATATTCTGTGCCTGTATTTAAAATATGCAATAAAGACTTTCAGATGTTTAAAAACAAGATAAATATCTTTATAGGATCCACTATTCACTAATTATTCACATAACAAACACTCACTGAAGGACTTTTAATTGTCAACTTGTGGTAATAAGAACCAAATTGCTGTCAATATGAAGATCAAAATCTGTGAAATATATAGAGAATCAGATACTGTAATTTTAATAAAGCTTCAAAAGTATAATACGCTTTAATATGAATGTTTCTTTAAAACATTTACTAATATTTTTACAACCATTTGTAGTTGACAACACATTTTCACAACAAAAACTTCTTAATTGATACTCCTCAAAAACTTTTTACAGGTTAGAAGCATGTGGGCCTGAAAAATAAAGTATATACCCCAGATTATACACTTGTACTCAATGCCAGGTCTTGTTACTCCAGGTCCTGGCTCTTCTCATTACATGGGTTTTTTTTCTTACAATTTTAGTGCACAGCTACTTTTATTGTTTTTCCCAATTTGACTCTTTTATATTGCTAAAAAGTCACACAACAAAAATTTAACAAGATTTTAGGAGTACCATTGGGAAACTTAAGCAGAAACAAAAATTAAATAAACATTTTCTTAATGGTAAATTAATATATATTTTGCTTTTAATAATAAGAATAAAGACATCAGCAGGATGGAGGAAAAGCTTTTAGACCTTGTATACCCATAAGAGCAACAATTAGACAGCTATCCACAAACGGAAATACCTCCGGAAGAGCTCAGGAGTTCAGTTAAGAAGGTGCAGCAACGTGGTGGGGAAGAAAAATGAGAATAATCTCACAGAAAGGGTAGAAAGAACAGTTTTATTTTTGCCTGCATCATCCCATCCCCCAGGTCCACACAGCTCAGTACTGAAAAGGAGCCCCGAGTCCATAAGTTTCCTTCATGAGGGAAAAGGAGAGCCTTTTCAGAGCACTGCCTGAAGGACCACTTTGGTTTTATCCCACCCAGGTTACTAAGGAGATAGGAATAGTCAAGACATCTGGAGACAGCTAGGAACAAAGAAGGTTGTGCACTATAAGTGTCAGCCATACTGCAGGTGCCACTGTGGTCCCCAGTGGTGTGCTCTACAGAGGATCCCGGGAGACTTCACAGCTGAGGACATCAACAACCATCACAGCCACTGAGACTCACTATGTTCACCATCAAAGACCTCACAATGTGAGCTGTCAAGGACCCCAGAAGTGTGCTCCACAGAGAAGCCAATAGTTCTCACCACTGAGAAACCCAACAGCCAGCACAGCTGCCACAGACCCCTACATCTTTTGCCACAAAGGATCCTGCAGTTTTTCACCTCTGCAGAGCCCCGCTACCTGAGCTGCTGTCCCCACTCCTCTACCAGGGCCACCCCAGTCAGCACACTACAAGTGTCCTAGCCTTGGACAGAGTACAGCCACCCCATATGCTCCACAACCAACCCCAGTCCCATCAGTAGTCTCATCTATACCACCATGTACATATCTACTGTCAACCCGAACCACCAGTCCTCATTGCCTTGCGCACACACACACACTGTGAGTCCAGGACCCACAGCCAAGCATACATATGACCAGCTCTGACCAATATTGCCAACCCTCACTTTTATATGCGCATACACCACAGCCACAGTCCTCGCAAGAGCTTATGCACATGCAGACAGCCCTGATGCCAGCTGCTGGTCCCACCATAGCATATACATCTGCAGCAGACCCCTGCAACCACAATCACAGGGCATCAGCTCCAACCTCTGTAGCCTTGTGCACTCACCACTGATTTTGCCACTGTAACCATGCCAACAATCAGCCCTAACCCCTCTGACTGATCCCAGCCCTTGACACTGGGTGCATACTACAGCTAGTTCCCATCACTGTGCACACACTGCACATACCAGTGCCTACTGCCACATACTTGCCCACCGCTGCCCCTGGTTTTCACCAACATGCATGTTCATCACTGACCCTCACTTGCTGCGACCTGCCTCAGCCCCGGTCTAAGTATACCCACAACTAGAATTGGAGGCACTGCTGAGGACTCCAACAGCTCTCAAAGCCACTATAGACCTAGTACAGTGGGTCTCTTGCCACTGAGGACCACGAAGTTGCTAATACCACTGACACTAACGGCCTGAGCCCCCTAGCCACCATGCCTTCCTAAACGTAGAATCACTGCACATTCCCACACTTGGCACTCCATGCCATCAGACTTGCTACCATAGTATGCTCCATCATACACCCCATAGTCACCACCCCACATCTCCTTCCTACCTCTACCTTCCTATAAGTGAAGGTCTTTCCTTACCAAAGCTAGTCCATAAAATCTGGAAGAAGTAATTACTTATTCAAATGTACAGACACCTACGCAGAGCTACAAGAATCATGAAGAATCAGGAAAACATGATAACATGAAAGGAACACCATGAATTTCCAGTAGGTACATGAAAAATAACATAAAATGAATCAAACCAAACCACCAAAAATGTCATCAAATACCAAAACAACAAAATAGGAAAAAAAAAATAAAAAGAACTGCAAGACAAAAAGGAAACAATGAACAAAATGGCAACAGCAAGTCCTTACATATCAATGATCATTTTAAATGTAAATGAATAAACTCCCAATCAAAATGAATAAAAATACAATATCCAGCAATATACAATCTACATGAAACTAATGTTAGATATAAGGACATACAGAGACTAAAAGTAAATGGCTGGGAAAAGGTAGTCCACGCAAATTGTAAGAAAAAGAGATGTGAGTGGCTATACATGTATCAAACAACGTAGTCTTTTAGTCAAAAAATGTCACAAGACAAAGAAGGTTGTTATGTAATTATAAAAAACAATTCAACAGGAAGACACAACAATTATAAATATATGGGCATTCAGCATTAGAGCACATAAATATATTAAATAAACATGCACAGAGCCAAAGGGAGAAATTGACAATAATACAATAATAATAGGAAACTTCAATACTCTCACTTTCAATAATGGATAAAACATCTAGGCAGAATTCCAATAAGGAAACAGCTAATTTAAACAAAACTATACACCAAAGAGACCTAACAGATATACACAGACCTTCTTCCCCAACAGCAGCAGAATACAAATTATTCTCAAGCACACATAGGACATTAACCTAAATAGGTCATATGTTAGATCACAAAACAAGTCAACAAGTTTTAAAAGATTTAAACCATATCAGGTGTCTTCTCAGATCACAGTGGAATGAAATTAGAAATAACAAAAACAAAACTAGAAAATTCTCAAACACGTGGAAATTAAACCACAGCTTTTGAACAACCACTGGGCAAAATAGAAAATCAAATGGGGAATTTTTTAAATATCTTGAGACAAAAATGAAAACACAATTTACTTAAACTTATGAAATTCAGCAAAAGCCATATACTAAGAGGGAAGTTCATTGTGTTAAATGCCTACATCAAAAATGAAATATCTTAACTAAACAACCTAACTTTATAACTCAAGGAACAAACTAAACACAAAGGCAACAGGAGGAAGAAAATAATAATGATCAGAGCAGAAAGAAAGAAAATATAAGAGAGAGAAACAATAGAAAAAATAATATTACAGAGTTGGTTTTTTTAAAGATAAAATTAACAAACTTTTAGCTAAACTAAGAAAAAAGGAAAGAAAACTCAAATTATAAAACACAGAAATGAAAAAGGAGGCTTTACAATTAATGCCACAGAAATAAAAATGATATTAAACAACTATGATGAATAATTATACACCAACAAATTTGACAATCTAAAAGAAATAAGCAATAGAAATATAAAACCTACTAATGCTGAACTAAGAACTAATAGAAAGGCTGAGTAGACCAATAACAAACAAGAAGATTGAATCAGTAATAAAAAACCTTCCAACAAGGAAAAGCTGAGGACGAGAAGGCTTCATGAGTGAATTCTACCAAATATTCAAAGAACTAATACAAACCCTTCTTAAACTCTTGCAAAAAAATAGAAGAGATAATACTCTCAAGCTCATTTTATGAGGCTAACAACACAATTCTAAAGCCAGAAAAAATCAACACCAAAAAAGAAAACTGCAGGCCAACATTCTCAACGGCCATAAATGTGAAAATCTTCAATGAAATATTAGCAAAAGAATTAAAATAATCATATATCATGACTAAGCAGATTTTATCCCTGACATACAAGGACAGTTCAACATGTAAGAACCGATCAATGTGATATACTAAATTAACAGAAGAATAAACTACATAATCTCAGTAGATGCAAGAAAAAATATTGGACCAAATTCAACATTAAGATAAAAACTATCAACAAAACAGATATGAAAGAAACTTTCCTCAGCACAATAAATGACATATATGAAAGAGGCACAGCTAACATAATAATCAACGGGGAAAATCTGAAAGCTTTTTCTCTAAGATCTGTAAGAAGGCAAGAATGCCAACTCTCACCACAGCTATTCAGCATAGTACTGGAAGTCCTAGCCAGAGCAATCAGGCAAGAAGAAGAAGAAAAAATAAGTATCCAAATCGAAAGGGAAAAAGAAAAATCATCTTTTTCTGCAGATGATATGATCATATACCTGGAAATCCCTAGACTCTACACAAAACACTATTATAACTAACTTAAAAAGTCAATAAAATTACAGGATACAAAGTTAACATACAAAAATCAGTGGTGTTTCTATACACTAAAAACAAACTTTCCAAAAGGAAAACCAAGAAACAAGCTCATTTAAATTAGCAACAATAACAACAAGGAAATACTTAGAAATTAAGAAATAAAAGACCTGTACCCTGAAAACTGTAAAACATTACCAAAAGAAATTTTTCAAAAGACACAAATAGAAAGACGTTCCGTGTTCATGGATTGGAAAAATTAAAATTGTTAAAATGTTCACACTACCCAAAGCAATCTACAGATTCAATGTCATCCTTATCAAAATCCCAATGGCAATTTATACAGAAATAGAAAAAACAATTCTAAAATTCGCATGGAACTACAAAAGACCCTGAATAGCCAAAGCAATTTTAAGAAGAATAAAGCTAGAAGCATCACACTGCTTGACTTCAAATCATATTACAAAGCTATAGTAATCAAAACAGTACAGTATTGTCATAAAAACAAACATCTAAATCAGTGGAAAAGACTAGAGAGCCCAGAAATAAGCCCATACATTTATGGTCAATGTATCTTCTACTAGGGTGCCAAGAACACATAATGGGTATAGTTTATTAAGAAAGAAAAAATTGGTGTTTGGAAAACTGGTTATCCACATGCAAAAAAAAAAAATTAAATTGAACCCCTATCACGCACGTACAAAAACCAATCTATAATGAATTAGAGACTTAAACAACATGCAACTGTAAAACTCCTAGAAGAAAACATAGGGAAAAAGCTTTTTGACAGTGGTCTTGGCAATATGTTTTTGGATATGGCAACAAAAGCAAAAATAGATATCCAGTATTACATGAAATTAAAAAGTTCTGCACAGCAAAGGAAGCAATCACCTAAATCAAAAGGCAACTTATGGAATTGGAAAAAGCATTTGCAAACCATTCACCTAATAAGAAGTTAATACCCAAAATATATAAAGAACTTATACAACTCAGTACCAAAAGTATAAATAACTGAATTAAAAATTCGGCAAAGTACTTAAATAAACACGTATCAAAAGAAGAAATTCAGATGGTGAACAGGCATATGAAAAAGTACTCAACATCTCTAATCATCAGGGAAATGCAAATCAAACCACCATAAAATATCACCTTACACCTTTAGGATGACTATTATTAAAAAGACAAAAGATAACAAACGTTGATGAGGCTGTGGAGAAAAGAGAATGTTTTTCCCCTGTCTTTTCAAAGGGACTTTATCATAGAAACAGTTCATGATTACTAACGCCCCCTCTTTGCGTCTCAACACAGCAATCAGGTTCCCACCCTGCCATGCTACTGAAGCTGTTCTGGCAGAGGTCACATCCAGTCTAATTGCCAAATCCAGTCAATAGTTCTTAGTTCTTGTTTCGGTTCTTAATTGTGCAGCATTTGACAATAAATTATCCATTCCGAAAAGTCTTTCAATTCTTGTCTTACATGACCTCATTCTCTAGATTCTTATTTAGCTTCCTGGCCATACTTTTTCAGTCTTACTTGCTGTGTCCTCCACCTCCCTCTTCCTGAGTTACTGTTAAGTGAATTGCAGTTCAAAAACAGGATGCACATTATGGCACTATTTATGATGTATTATGTATACATAAATATGTTACTGGATAGAGTTGTCCAGGTTCTTGCCCTGTTGAACAAAGAATTGAACAAAATGCAGAAACAAAGTGACAAAAGAACAGAGCAAGGAAAGACAAAGCAACCGGAGAATGCAGCAAGGAAAGCACAGATTTATTGACAACAATTCACAGAGTGGGAGCCGGCTGTAGCAAGCAGATCAAGAGCCTCTCCAATTAGGGTTTTTATAAAGCCAAAATAACTTGGCAACACCCCTAGGTGCCCTTTAGTGGCCTCCAGTTGGTTATACCCTATGAAAGATGGGCCTGCAACCCAACAGAGGCTGAAATGGAAACTTCTGTCTTGTAATCACAGGAGTGAAGACGTGGCCTGTATGCTGCCTAATCTTGCCTAGAACTGGCTGCACCTGCTATTCCTTTGCTTAGAACTGGCTGCACCTGCTATTCCTTTGCCTAGAACTGGCTGCACCTGCTATTCCTTTGCCTAGAACGGGCTGCACCTGCTATTCTTTGCTTACTTATGCCTCAACCCTTGTCTATCCTAATTCCCTATTTTTCTGCCTCAGATATATTATACATAGATATTTAGAGTGTACACATAAAAGTTGTGTTTATGTGTAAGATAAGTGTGAGATATCAATATGTATATTATATATGTGTATGTGTATATATGATACATGTGTGTCAAAATGTTAGGCAATGGAAATAATCTGTGTGAACTTCACTTTAATCATTTCTGTAGCTCTTGAATATGTTTGTAATTATTATTTATAACTCTAAGAATCAATGTTATTACTCCGTTTTCAGACTGCTGTAAAGAAATACCCGAGACTGGGTAATTTATGAAGAAAAGAGATGTAATTAACTCACAGTTCTGCAGGCAAAACAGGAAGCATGACTGGGAGGCCTCAGGAAAAATATTCGTGGTGGAAAGCGAAGGGGAAATAAGCACTTCTTTACCATGGCAGGACAGGAAAGAGACCGGGAGATGGAGGAAGTGCTACACGCTTTCAAACAACCAGATCTCGTGAGAACTCACTAACTCTCACAAGTACAGCAAGAGAGAAGTCCGCCACATGATTGAATCACCTCCCATCAGGCCCCTCCCCCAACACGTGGTAATTATAATTCCAGATGAGATTTGGGTGGGAACATAAGAGCCAAACCATATAAGTCAATAATAAATTACCCACTAATGCTTATAGCTCTTTAATTGTACTTATATGCTGATGATTTCTAAACTGCCCTCTCAAGCCCAGGTATTTTCCCTGAGTTCCAGACCTGGATGATCCATAGTCGAATTTACCCTTAAGCCTTATCGTTTTGTGCCTTCACAGTCCCCAAACCATTCTCTAGGTAATTGCTTTCTTGCAGCTATATCTTTACAACTTTATAATATTCAAAATGGAAAGCTTCGTGAATTATTTGTGTTTCTATTGCTAGTGCCCATGATACATACATAGTGCCTTGTAAAGAGAACATGGTTACTGATACTGGTTGAGTGAATAAACTAAGTGGATTATTCTTTTTTTTTTTTTTTTTTTTTTTTGAGACGGAGTCTTGCTCTGTTGCCCAGGCTGGAGTGCAGTGGTGCGAGATCAGCTCACTGCAAGCTCTGCCTCCCGGGTTCACGCCATTCTCCTGCCTCAGCCTCCCGAGTAGCTGGGACTACAGGCGCCCGCCACCAGGCCCGGCTAATTTTTTGTTTTTGTATTTTTAGTAGAGGCGGGGTTTCACCGTGTTAGCCAGGATGGTCTGATCTCTGCCCGCCTCCGCCTCCCAAAGTGCTGGGATTACAGGCGTGAGCCACCGCGCCCGTCCGGATTATTCTTTATTCCTTGTGGTTTAAGGAATTATCAAAGTATTTTTAGTTAGGGAGTAACATGTTCAGATTTCTAATTTAAGATTAATCTGGATGTATATTAAAAAATGAAATAAGGCCGGGCGCGGTGGCCTGTAATCCCAGCACTTTGAGAGGCCGAGGCAGGTGGACCACTTGAGGTCAGGAACTCGAGACCAACTTGGCCAACATGGTGAAACGCCGTCTGTACTAAAAATACAAAAATTAGCCAGGAGTAGTGGCGCGGGCCCCAACTACTCAGGAGGCTGAGGCAGGAAAATCGCTTGAACCCGGGAGGCAGAGGTTGCAATGAGCCGAGATCCCGCCACTGCACTCCAGCCTGGGCGGGAGAGAGACTGCTGCATCACAGGAAAAAAAAAAAAAAAAAAGTGGAGAGTTTAGAAGGGAGAAGGGAGAAGGCAAGTATAAAAAGTCGCAGAAACTCTATGCACCAATGATAGAACCTTTCTGATGAAGTTTTACCTCTAAGGAACAACCACAAAAAAAAATTGCATTTCTTACACATTAGCTTTTTAAGATACACATTATTTGGTTTAATGACAGGTTGTTTACTGATTCTAAAATAAATCTTTTCTGCCATCTTGTGGACAGAAACAATATTTATTTATCTTTTTATACCAATGTTTAAACTTGGTAGTATTTACTGAGCCTATAATTATCCATAATGTTATTTATTATTTTAAAAGAAACTTCAACTTAACCCTTAAAAATCAAAAAGCATTTCTTCTTCTGCTTTCATGCCAACTTACTTTTAACTCTACATGGACTTTTTATGTGTATATATTTAGTCATACTGTTTTGTTAATTGTAAGATAAATATTTCTAAACTTACTGAAATTTGCTTTTGTTCAATTTTGCTCCAAATTCTATAGGCTAAAGAAAAACCTCAGTGATGATTTCATTGTGAATATACCTATTGAGCTCCTTTCCTATTATTGAGTTCTTATATATTAATTTATTCGATTTAACAAGTATCTACTGAGTACCTACCTTATGTCAGTCATTGCTCTAAACACGGAGGATATAATCGTTTTAAAAAGAGACAAAAATTTCTTCCTTCCAGGAGTTCACATTTTAGTTAGATATATGGAGTGGATTTATATGTCCTGATGTTCCTTAAAAACTTATTTCCCGCTATAACAAACTGATTTGGAAGGAAGATATAGGAGAAATTCTCTCTAAAATAGACTTTTTTGAGAAATATGGTCTGGAATATTCCAAAGTTAGGGTCACGCATATAAAATTTTGTAGAAACTACAAGTCTTAGTAACTTTCTGTATTGATAGGATTATAGAAAAGTATACTACAAATATACAAAAATTCAGTCAAAGAGTTCAAAACTGTAGGTAGTTTATTTAAATCTGAACAAAGCAATTCATTTAGCACTTGTATGCGCCATTTAAAAAACTAAAGTTTAATAAAAATTGAAATGGTATAGAAAAGCTGGGATGTTAGATAATAATGGAAATGTAATTTTTTTGGAAATGCCAGCCATCTTTGCACAAAAAAAATTCTTCTTCCTAATCAACAACGGTTCCGAACACTCTGCCTGTAAACTTGTTTTTGTTATTAGTAGAGCATTTAGTCCATCAAATTCTGAAATATGATTAATTTCATTTTCTGAACCTTTAATCTAAAAAAAAAAGATTCTCAGTAAAAATGCTTATGCTTCAAAATATTTCAGTTTGTCTCATGCCTAGGTCCTCTCCAAAAGCAGAGCTGAATACAAAGGCTTGTAAGCAGATAGTTTTTTTTTTTATTGTTTGTTGTTAAATTATCTCAAAGAAGAGAAGTGGGAAACTGGGAAGAGACGGAAAGGAAGGAAGAAAACTAAACCTTAGAGTACACTGTTGCACTAATTATTGCAGTATTACTTGGGGCTCAGTCTTTCTAAGAAGCCTTGTAGAAATCATCTCAGGTGTATTTTCCACTTGAGACAGAATCAGGGAGAATTTACACACCAGTTCCCATTCCTAAGTTGGACAAGTTTTGCACTATTTTGTGTTTACTCCTCTCACTTCCAGGTGTTTTTTTTGTGTGTGTGTGAGATGGAGTCTCGCTCTGTCGCCCAGGCTGGAGTGCAGTGGCGCCATCTCGGCTCACTGCAAGCTCCGCCTCCCGGGTTCACGCCATTCTCCTGCCTCAGCCTCCCGAGTAGCTGGGACTACAGGCCCCCGCCAACACGCATGGGTAATTTTTTGTATTTTTTAGTAGAGACGGGATTTCACTGTGTTAGCCAGGATGCTCTCCATCTCCTGACCCCGTGATCCGCCCGCCTCTGCCTCCCAAAGTGCTGGGATACTTTTCAGCTCTTTTATGAAGCTATTAAAACCAATTAAGGAAATTTTAAAAGTTAAAAAAAAATAAGATTTTATCATAAGAAAGTGTATTTCACAATTTGGATATAAAAATTTAATAAATTACTTCCATCAAGATTACTGTTTATAGAGGAAACTCAAATATGAATAACATTAGAAAAGTTGTATTCCTCAAATAACTGTGTGTATGGTTGCATGAGTGCACACAGGCATGTGCTAAAGAGTAAAAATATATATTTATGTTTTTTAATAACAACTTTGTCATCTCTAGTTCCTCCTACTCTTTGTATCCATTTAAGTTTTTTCCTTGCTTTGTAGGGATAAAGTTCAATGTATTTTTATTTGTAATCTTTATTTTTAAAAATCACAACTCTCTAAGAATTTCCAAAGTTGAAGGTTTTCTGGCAATGTAAATTTATTAACTGTTTTGTTTAAAGATGTTCAGCTCCTTCTGAAAAGAAAATGCAACTGAATTTTGGAAGAATCATTTATAAAATATGCAATACCATTTTGTTGATTTACAAAATAGTGAAATAGAGTAGTAGTGTTTATGTTGATTTACAAAGTAGTGAAATAAATTTAGTACATTCCTAAAAATTTGATTGATGCTAGGAAGAAAGAGAAGAAAACGTCCAGCCATACTGAGGTTTTGTTTGTTTGTTTTTCAGGAAGGGAAGGAATTCAACATAGGCTTCATCACAAAAAAAGTTCAGTTTAGTCATTCTATGGTATACAAAAATATTTGTAAATTCTGACAGAGTTATATTTTAAATAGTACACTATCATAGTTTAACTAAACAAAATTATAATGCACCAACACTAATCTCAAGTATATTTCTGCTTCATAAATTTCTTAATTTCGTAACATTGTACCATCCTGCTGTGCTCCAACAAAATTAGTATTCATATTATATTCATATTCATAAAACACTTTTATTTTCAATGTAAAATTACTTAAGTGAATTTGTAATAGCATTCACCATATCTCAGATGTACAACCTTTACAGAAAGCAATACAAAAAACAAAATAATAGTGAAGCAACATTTTAAAAAATGTCTAGAAGTATATAAAGGATTTTATATCAAGCTCTCCTTCACATTTCAGGCCTTTGGAAAAAGCTATTTTAAACATGTAAGAACTCAAGGAATATTATTTTCATAGGCTATTTCTGAGGACTCCACTAGAGTACAAGCCTTATATGACCAAAAGAATGACTGAGGAAACTGCAGCCAAAAGATGGATGGCAACCAGTGAACATATTTATTAAATATATTTGTTATAAATGAATAAATAAATTTAGATCAATTTAATATATACTTATAAATTTAGGTCAATTTAATATATACATATATTAAATAATTTATATAATAAATATATTTAAACTATAAATGCATAATAAAGCTGGGCTTAAGGGTGGAAGACTATTATACAAATGCTACATTTACTGACTAATATGGCTTTGCTCTGTTCCCACCCAAATCTCACCGTGAATTGTAATAATCCCCACATGTCAAAGGTGGGGCAAGTGGAGATAATTGAATCATGGGGGCAGTTTCCCCCATACTGTTCTTGTGGTAGTGAATAAGTCTCACGAGATCTGATGGTTTTATAAATGGGAGTTCCCCTGCACAAGTTCTCTTGCCTGCCATCATGTAAGCGGTGACTTTGCTCCTCATTCACTTTCAGCCATGATGGTGAGGCCTCCACAGCCATGTGGAAGTGCGAGTCAATTAAACCTCTTTCCTTTATAAATTACCCAGTCTCACGTATGTCTTTATTAGCAGCATGAGAACAGACTAATACACTGACAAAGTAAAAAAAAAATTAGAGAAGATGGAAGAAAGAAAAACAATGTAATAATCTCATTGATTGTCCTGTAGAAAGCAGTTAAAGGTCACTCAGTTAAAGCTGACAAACTGAACAGTAGAAGCCCAAGTAAGAAAAGAAAGAGGTAATTATATAAAGATATTAATACACAGAAAACCACTGAAACAAAAATGCAAAAGTTCCTATATACCAAAATAAAGACAATTAAAATAAACAAAATAAAACAAAACTTAGTTGACATCATTTGTTGCAGTCTTCTATTTAAATCTCTTTTATCTTTGTGGATTTATATACTTTTTTTTATTCCTACACTATAATTTTGGTGAAATCTGAGGAGAAAATGGCAATAAATGTATGTGTTCAATATGACATGGCTTACCAAAATAAAGTCTTTTTTTAAGCCCTGAGGTTGGAACTTCCTGCTGTATGTAGGTCATCGGGTTAGGTCTGTAACTAATCCTACATGGTATTCCAGATTCACAACTTATCATGAAGGAAGGTGAAAGGTGACTGCTCATCGCTGGATATGCTATGTCTCTGGCTTGGGAGGCTGGATGGATGATGGTACATGAATTGGTTGTTTACCTATTTCTATTCAGCTTCCAATGGTCCTTCTCTGCAAATAAGAGTTGCAAGTTCTTTGTCTAGTTAACACAGTCCACCACAATCTGTATCTAATTTGATTATTTAATCTAATTTTATGCATAAAATTTTTCTGCTATAATGTTTGCTTGTTTTTTTTTTTGAGACGGAGTCTCACTGTGGTGCCCAGGCTGGAGTGCAATGGCACTCCGCCTCCTGGGTTCAAGCCATTCTCCTGCCTCAGCCTCCCGAGTAGCTGGGATTACAGGCACCCACCACCCATCCCTCCCCAGCTAATTTTTGTATTTTTAGTAGAGATGGGATTTCACCATGTTGGTCAGGCTGGTCTTGAACTCCTGACCTCAGGGGATCCACCTGCTTCGGCATTCCAAAATGCTGGGATTACAGATGTGAGCCACCGCCCCCAGCCTTTCTGCTGTAATATTTAAGAGGTGTGTTGCCACTGGAAATTTCAAAATATTTAAATAATCTAGGCCTCAGATTCCCGTGATATGGAAATAATAATATGGAAACGTACATAAAACATAAACATACTGCTTTATGAATCATAAAGTGAACATCCATGATCTAAAGAAATGGAATATGCCAGTGCCTCAGAATCATTCCTCTTTCCTACCACAATCTCTCACCTCCCCATAAGTAACCATAGCCTGTTTTTTTGTAGTAATAATTTCTTAAATTTTCTATATGGGTTTACCATGATAGTATGTATTCTTAAATTTAATGGTTGCCTTTTTTCTGAACTTTATGTAAATGTAATTATGCTGAATGCATTTTTTTCTTTAGCTTTTTTTACTCAACATTATACTTGTGAAATTCACCAATTTTTGTTGCGTGTATCTGTAATTCATTTGTTCTTAATTTTGTATAGTATTACATTGT